>NC_000010.11:11070606-11222121 GCF_000001405.40 Homo sapiens
GAGCAAAGATGAAATCATCTGGGGGGAGGGGTATAAAGTGAGAACATCTAAGTCCCAGTGTCTGGGACCAACAATACTTTGTGGCCTGAAGAGACGATGAGCTTGTGAAGGAGACGGAGGAAGAACAGTGGCATGGGAGAAAACATGATACTGTGTGAAGGAAGACAGAGGAGGTGAATGTTCGGGGAAGGGTGCATAGCATCAGTTGCTACTAAGGAGTCTAGTAAGAGGAAAACGAAAGAACAAAAGTTTTGGAATTTACCAACATAGAGATACTTGGTAACCTTAGTGGGAGATACTCCAATAAAGTGATGAGATTATAGGTTGGATTGGAACTAGCCAGCTATGAAATGGAAGGTAAGAAAAGAAGGGGATAGTATAGATGACTATTTTGAGAAATTTGGCTATTTAAAGGTGGTAGAGAGTAAAGACACAGTAATATCAAATGGCCAGATAAATACAGCAGTGATCCTATTTATTTTAATCTTGTTTATGTTTTATTTATCGAGGCTAATTCTGCTGTAATTTAAATCAGTTTTCTACCTTCATGAACGACTTGAGAGCTCCTGATCCCTTTGAATTGTCGTGCTTCCCTGAGTTCCACTTGGCCTGTGTTTTGCAGCAAGCCTCCAGCTAGGACATGCGCTGGTTCTTGGGAGCAAGCTCAGGGGCATGAAGTTTTATTGCACCAGGCATCCAACATGTCTTATCTTGGTTTACTCTTCACAACAACTATATGAGGTTGGTTTCATTACCTCCGTTTTACAGATGATAAAAGTAAGGTTCAGAGGAGGCTACTTCCCTGCCAGAGTCGAACATCTAGGAAGAGGGAGAACTGGGATTCAAACCCAGGTGACTGAGGCTACACATTTCCTGACTTATCTTCGACACAAAGATAACATCGCAGTTGAAATAAACTGCCTTTCACAAGAGATTTTTCCACTCAAAACCCAGATTTTGGGGCTTATTTTTATTGCTTTCATTCATACAATCTGTCAGTACACAGCCAATTCAAGATCAGCTCCCTTTCTTCCCCGCTGTTGCCTCATCCAATGTGTCTCTTAACTGTCTTGCTGCTGGAAGTAGTTCTGAGAAATGAAAATAATAAAACCAGTGTTATTTCCCAGAGGCTTTGGAAACAAGTACAGGATTTTGTTTCTGCTGCTTCACCAACCCACTTATTATAATCTCAGTTCTTCTTACCTGGGACCCCACGCAGGAACAAAACAGATCTGAATCCTTTCATATCTCACCCCTGACAAGTCCCGAGTCAATGGGGTCATGTTGGTGACATGTTTGGACATGTATAGAAGGAAAACTGGATGGAAGTCATAATCAGCATTGTGACCATGACAAGTTGATCCCACATTAAAATAGAAATGTTGAATTGGTGACGACACCGTGAGTTTGGAGATTGCCTTTTGGGTTATGTCCTTAGGATCACACAGCATGGTCAAGTGGTCCAAGATGTGGACAGCTGAGTTACACATTCCAGGTGAAACAGAGGAAAGTTGATAGAGGTGAGGTCGAGCAACATTCTTTTGTCGTTTTTTCTTTAGGATCAAAGTCCCCATTTAATAGATGTTTTCAGCCCATGGAAGACACTAATTTGAGAGAATTATGTGTTTTTCTCTCCCAGGGTTTTGTACCTTCTCCTCCTCTCTCTAATGTTAACTTATAGAACCTCTTTTAAGTGCATGTGACAAGTTGTTTCTTTGCCTTGAGGGAAAGATTTTGATGTCACTATGTGAGACTCAAGTCTTTGATGTTTAATTGTATTTTACCCAGATGACAATGAATGGTTGGACTGTGTTTCCTGCATATTGCTAAGACCATGACCATAGTGGAACCTCTACAGTCAGTGCTCACTTTGTGAGGCTGGAGTGTGACCACTTGCCCCTGGGAGGCCACGGTAGCCACACCCCGTTCTTTGACAGCCTCTTTGAGCATAAGAGACTCTGGGTAACATAGCAGATTCTGGACTCTGGGACAAACCAGCATTATTGCCTGAGCTGATCTTCACTCCTTCTGAATTTTAAAGCAAAGGATATAGAGGCAGCCCCAACCATAGGAGCACAAGAGTATCTCCCATCCCTGTGGAGTCTGTAGATGGTGACCCTTAAGTTTACTAACACCTCGGGTTCACAGGTATCACTTGAGTTGTGGAATATCCATTTGATTGATATTCATTTAGGTGAATCCTGATTTCCCTTTTTTTTTTACATTATAAAACGGAGGTATGCTAACTGAGGATGGGAAGCAGATATCCCTGAAACATAATAAAATTGGTTTTTAAAACATAGAAAACATTTTTAATAACTATATTAAAATGTTAATACTATACTAATAACTATATTAATATCCTATTACATTATATATTATAAGTTATTACACAAATCACACTCTTATTGTACAACATACTACTAATACAAGTTACATATTTTAGAAATACAATTATGATAAATATAAATAATGCTAATATAATTATACCAAAATATTAACATGTCAAATCTTAGCAATAATACTTGAATTATGAAACATTCACAAATCTGGACAGAGCAGAGTGTAACACTGGCTAGTGACTCAGTGGGCCTCCTGTACTGCCCTCACTGTAGAAGAAACTATCCCTTAAGCTTTGACAATTCGCTTTCAAATTATGTAGCATTTTTCTCTAGGAAGGCTTTTTATTATATTTTGGTGGCACTTAAGCCCTCCAGCTGCAACACCCCTTACCCTAATGGTTTTGTCTTTTCAGTTAACGATTTCTGGGAATATAGACACGTTTATTTAAAGTAGAGGAATGGCAGTAGCAGCAGGGATTGAAACACGCCGGGATGTTTAGCAATAGTCACAGCAACATACAGTGGTATGAGGGTCTGGAATTTTGTTCATATCCAGGCTTAATGAATTACTGGCTTGTGATAGTTATAAAAATAGCCAAATTTGCTGGCACCTACTATATGTCAGGCACTGTGCCTAAAGACTTCATGTGTGGACTCTGGTTTCAAGTGGAATGGTTTTTATATTTCACTCAATTGTGGTTCACTGGTTAACGGTGACCATGGCATCAGAATGGCCTTGGGCCTCACAGAGTGCTGATCTTACTAACGCTGACTGAGGAGAAGGGGCCAGGTCTCCCTGGGGTGCTGGTAACATAAGGTGATGGCTGCAGGGTGGTGGCTGGGAAACCCACAAATGTCCTTCGTGTTTTACCTAGTGCTGTGAAGCAGAGTGAGGGTTTAATTCACAATTTCTTTATGTTCATGATTTTGGTTATACATTTTTAAATAGTTTTCATACTGTTATCAAATGTAAAATAATTGAGAATATTCTTGTAATGGCCATAGAACTTGGAAGCTTTGAATTTGAAAACCTACCTTAGATAAGTGATTTCTAGCCTCCGTGCCACAGCCCTCGAGGGTCTGTAGTTGTTATCAGAAGTTCTAAATCCTTGGACACATCAAGTTCTGTCTGCAGGCTAAAGTATATACGAGTATGTGTGTGTTACAACATCTATTCAACCTATTTTGTTGCTTTTTTGATCAGCAAAATGTCTATTTCAAAACACATTACCAAATTCAAACTAGCTTTGAATTTATATCCTTTTGTATTTTTCTCAAGTCATCTGATACCAAAAGTTCAACTATTATCCCATGAGGGTGCTGAAACATTTTTTTAAAAATATATTCGTAAAGATTGGGAATGACTGTTCTGCTGCTTAAGGGATTTTTTAAAAACAGCCAAAGATTGGAAGTTACTTAGTGACTGTCGCTTCCAGCCTAGGTCTATTCTTAGAAAATATGTCAGCTTATCCTAAAGAAAAATTTCATCACTGAATTGAACCCTTCCGTTTTCCAAATATCTTAGTACTGCCTTAGAAGTAGCATGGAGTTAAAGGGAAAGATTTCTAGCCCATGCCTGATTGCCGTTTTTTGGTTTGCCTAATTAATATTCACTATGGGATAAATTACCTGCTATTCTTTGAAATTTGCTGAAAGATGCCCTTCATTCCTGTCTGCGACGGGGGACTGGTATTATTGGCAGCACTTGTGTGAGCAGAGACAGTGTAGGTATGGTGCAAAAAATACAACCAGTGCAGCTGAGAGCATGGTAACCATTCTGAGTGTCACAAAAGGTGTAAATCATGTGTTGCAACTCTGAGCACATGGACACAGCTCTATTCCAACCTCTACCTAGGAAAATATCCATTTCCTTTGTGCGTACTCCCTGGTCTTGCCCAGCCATAGGAATTATGTGTTATTCTTATGTTGAAATATCTAAAGCAAATGAATTTGGTCTCTAAATAACAAATTAGTCAAAAGTTCACTTTCAACCACTTACTGGAATTTGGGGACATATTTTCTCATAGAACTGGTTTGCATGTAGGTTCCCAGTTGGGCTGCAAGAACAACCTCTTTGACTCAGAATGGAATTGAAAGATGCTTTCGATTCTCTTGTTTCCTCTTGTCACTATGGGAAAATGCTGCTCTGTCCTAATCCCCTTGGCCCTGAAAGTGAATGGTCTTGTCCCTTGTCAAGTGTGGCTTGATTGTCTTCCTCTTCCTTGGCTGGCTGAGTGATAAAGGCATGGAGTTGCCCCACTCTGTGGCTCCTTCATTTGTAAGGGATGTTCAGGAGTCATCAGAAGGCATGTTGATACTTCTTTTACTAAATAGCAAAAGCATAATGCCCTTTCAGCATTCCTCTTCTCTCCCCGCCCCCGTCTCTTCTAAAACAGAAAAAAAGAAAAGGTTAATGTGAGAACTGCCCAGTAAAAAGATTATATTCTATTTTACAACCTTACTTATTCAGTAACGTATGGAGAGCAGTCCTGGTATACAGATACATGTACGATGTGATAAAGTTTGTGAGATGGTAATTGGATTCCCAAAACCGGTATGTTGAAGGTGTTTTATTCTATCTGCAAAGAGCTCTAAGAAACTCAAAAGAAGGCTGCTGTGTAAATTAAGTGGATTATTGCTGTGAACATACGTATGGACTTAAATGTCCAGGGTCTACAGTGAATGTTGGTTTAGCGTTCACTTAGAGACTTGTCTTTGGCGGATAAAGTGTTTGCAGCCAAGCAGGTGACATTGAGAATGAAATGGGGGTGAGCAGCCATCAGCGTTCTTAGGAAGGAGGAGTGATTCCTGAAGGATCCAGGCAAGCAGGTGCTATGGAATGATGGTTGAAAACGTCGTAGGCAAGAAAAAAGCATCAGTATTAGGGCAAAATACTAGTAATCTGATTAATCTCAATTAATTAAAATGTTTAATAAACTGCCAACATCAGTATCTCAGAATGAGTGAAACAAAAAGCTTTCCTTTTTCTTCCTGTTTTTGTTAGAAGTTTATTGAAAAATGATATATCAGCATACTTTTTTAGTGTGAGAAAATACCAATTAAGAACATTAGTTTAACTCTCTCTTGAATTATTCAGAAGGAAAAACAAGTCAGATCCATTGTGGGTATTTTTGTTGTTTGTTTTTTAGAGTCCAGGTAGACATGAACAAGCAGAAGTTAAAATAGCAGATGGGATATTGATGGTCATACATGGGGGAAGCTTGTTAACAGCATTGGCCTGGTGGACAGACGCCAAGCTTAAATCAGGCCAACTTTACTCCTCCTCGAGAAAGATTATTGGAGGATAAGGAGGATACTATACAGAACTTTGTCTTAGAATTGTAAATAATAGTCAAAGAGCCCAAATTCAGCAGCAAGCAAAAAGGGACAGAGTAAAAAGAAAAGGCAGTTGCTATGGGGGTGCATTAGCATTGCAAGGACGTAGGCTTGATTTGTTATACAGCAAGAGCTAGGTAAATGTGGCCTGAGGGCTTTAAATGCGCACAGCTTGCTTTAATATCTGTGGACAGACCCAGATCCAGGGCTACTTGTCAATTCTCGAATGTTTTTTAGGTGAAAGCTTCTAAGAATGCTTTACAGCTCAGAATTAAGTACTGATTGCCCACTCACATTTCTCCTGTTACCAGTGTAACATGTAGCACCTAGCATTGCCTTTTTAAAAGAATGCTGGCTCTAGGTGAAATTGTGTGTTTAGCCTTTCCTTTGGTGCATACTAAAATGATGTGGATTCATTAGGGAAAAGTTTATAGTCAAAGAAGCATTGAGTTGATCTATGGACTTAGGTCTGTTTTTAACTTCCTAAGCCTTAGGAAAATTTAAATCACCTGGTTTGAGCTCTGCAAATCAAGGCTTTGGTAGTCAGTAGTATAATTTCAGGCTTACAGGGGATTGACTGTAGGGGAGCTTGTCTTGCAGATCTAACTTGGTTATTGATAACATGTAGCTTTTGAAAAAAGCAGGTTATAGTAAACTAGAGAGGTTATGAAAGAAGTATTGGACTTGTAGATAATACCTGGCTTTGAATTCTTGCTCTGTCATTGACTCCTTAGTAACCTTAGGCAAGTCACTTTATTTTTCTGGGCTTCAATTTCCTCCCCTATAAAACGGTGATTTCCCAAGTCCTTTGCCGTTTTGCAAACCGTTAACTCTGAGACAAGTGAATGTCTCCGTGGTGGTAGTAGTTCACACAGTGCCGAGGGTTATCATTATAAATACCAGATTTTCAGTGTACAGAGGGGTTGTAAGAACCAAGTGTGCACATAGGGAGGAATGTGTGCCAACACCAGAACAAACCCCAGCAAAAGGCTTTGAGTTTGGGTGCTTTTATAATGACCACCATTGCCAGTTGTTTCTCTCTTAAAGCCAAGTACAGGGAAAGTAAGGAAACACGACTCTGGAAACATCTGAAATAATCCCAAGTGGGTCAGTTCTGATGAGTCCAGTACTGAAGGCATTGTAAGGCTTTTATAACGAGAGACCTGATGCCCTAAGCGTGATCAAAATACCAGAAGTAATGAGGTCAATTTGTTGGCGTTCGAAACTTCTGTCTTCCAAATACTGAGCCTTGAATGTGTATGCTTTTGTCTTCTGGAAAATGATGCAAATCCTCTGAGCCTTGTAAAAAAATACCTATTATTACTTTTATCAGCAAAATTTGAAGTTGAAACCAGAAAGCAATTAGGTTCAAAGTTAGCGTTTATCGTCGTGTGAAACATTTCATTGCCCTGTAAGTGAGATACATTGAAGTACAGGGGTGAGCCTCTTGACAGATGAATTATGAACAATTCACCATAATCAAAACCATACAGTGCACATAAACATAAAATTAATATCACTTTTATGGACTCTAGTCCCACAGCTTGAGAAGTTATGTGAGTAGAAGAAAAATATGTAGGACAAAGACAGCAGTCTTTCAAACTGCTACATCAGGATTTAGACATACAGTAACACCTGTAAAAGCATATTAGGAGTTTTGCAGCTAAAGCCCAAAGTAATCCTTGAGAAAAGCATACCAAAGGGAATGCAAAATAGAAATGAGAGCTGGGAAGTGACCTGCGTAGGTAGGCTAGAGCAGACCATTTGCTTCTGGTTTGAGATAATTCCCTCCATTCGTGTTTCATCCATTTCGTTTTGAATGCTTTCCCTTGGAGGACAATTCCATAGTCTAATAGATACAGATACTTGAGAGCTTCTTTAAGACATTCAGTCTATTTATAAAAAAAAAAAATGCTCCTCCAGTTGCTGTATAATTGTTCTTCCTTGTATTATCCTAAAGGAAGTGGTGGGGGGCGGAATGTATGCAATGGGAAATCGAGTTCAACAACATTTCTCTCTTGGGTGCTACAGATTTCATCTTTCATAAACTTATGCTTTGCTCACAGAAAATGATTACCAAGGGAAGGGAATGAATTCACTGCTTTTCCAGAGCTGAACGAGTTCTACCTATAACAGGTGCTCACAGAGAATAACACAGTCCCAAGTCGAAATAGTCCCTAAATGTATTTTTCCTTGGCCTCATTTTAATGCTTGACCCATTTCTAGAGTCACTGGTTTCATTCATCCAGAACCTTGTTCATTTCCAAATCCCCTATCTTCCAAAATCTATCTATACTCCCTACAAACTAACCACTCAGAAAAGCTAGGTAGAGATGTAACACTGGACTTATTTAAAAGCTTAATGGGTGAATGAATAATTATGTCAGATTAGAAAAGAGTGGGCGGTTCTTTCTCTTCATGCACGGCTTGCAGAAAATATAAAAGAATCGGAGGCTGCCAGTCTGTATTCTCTTACCTATTACATATTCTTGACCTGTGCAAGAAAAGACTCTAAACCTTTGGCTGTCCAGTGGTTGCTGTCTGGGAGTGATGGTGCTATTGGGCACATCCATTGCTTTGCTTTAGAGAATCATGCTGCTCCCTTCTTCAGCATAACGTGATGTGATTAAAGAATTAAGCAAATGCTGTTGGACCCAAAGAGATTTGTTTTACAATTGATTAAATCACTTGAGCAGCTCACATTTTCTATTGCGATTTGGAGTCTGTGTGTACAGTTGGGGTGTGACGGGGTGCATCTCCTTCATGTACTCAAAGTATAAAACTACTTACTCCTCTGTTTTACTCTTACTCCCTACCCTCTCTGGAGTTTTAAGGGGACTCCTTACATTTATTGCCCTGGAAGTAAAACTAAAAACGTTCTAAAACTTACTGAGAGTGACAAGAGAGGAGTATCTCAAAAATGTATAAATTTCATACGTTTTTTGTACTTACCTGAACTAAAGTCCTCTCACCTAAATGAACTCTTATTCTAAAATAGCTTTATGTTCCCATCTGTAGACCTTGGTTTTAGCAGATACCCAGCTTTTAGGTTGAAGTACAGCTGTCACCTCAACAAAAACGTGCGGAAAATGCAGATGGCCCATGGTATGGTTTGGCTCTGTGTCCCCACCCAAATCTTGCCTTGAATTGTAATAATACCCATGAGTCAAGGGTGGGACTAGGTGAAGACGATTGAATTATGGGGGTTCAGGGATTTTCCCCATGCTGTTGTTGTGATAGTGAGTTCTCAGGAGATGTGATGGTTTTATAAGGGGCTTCCCCCTTCACTTGGCATTCATTCTCACTCCTGCCTCCCTATGAAGAGGTGCCTTCCGCCATGATTGTAAGTTTCCTGAGGCCTCTGCAGTCATGCAGAACTGTAAGTCAATTAAACCTCTTTATAAATTACTCAGTCTTGGGTATTTCTTCATAGCAGTGTGAGAATGGACTAATACAGCCCCCCCCCCCTTTTTAGGCCATGGAATCTAGCAATTCAAGATGAAAAGAGAAGTTGTCACTCACCTTTCCCTCTTGGGTCAGCTTCTGCCATCACCTGGCAGTATCATCACATATGATCAGAGTTACCACAGTAGAGTGCAAACAGCAATAGCAAGATGCACTGTACTGCAAGATGACTTTGGGATTTGTTAGCTGCTGACCATTTTTACTACTTATAGCGCTAAGAAAAAAATGAAATGGAACCATCCAGATTATAAACTGTTGTGAATTGCTCTCCGGTTTATAAATGTTTTAGCCATATTTATGAGAGTCATTAAGGTAGAGAGGAAAGAGCTTTGCACTTGACAGATGCTAGTTCAAATGCTGATTTTGCTACTGAGGGTCACCTTGAGCAAATCATTTAACCTCTCACAACCTCAATTTCCTCATTTTAAAAATGGAAATAACATAGGTTTATTGTGAGAATTAAGTGAGGTCATGTAAAAGATCCAAGTAGAGACCCCATTAATGTTAGTTCCCCTTGCTTTTTCTTTGTTTAAATGAGCTGTATTTTTACAAGTCTTTTACAGTCATGAATGGATAATTTCTTATAAGCACCTAGTTCCTGGACCATCCTAGGTGCTTAGTAAACATTCATGGAATGAGCAAGTGGGCGAGTACATATATTTAGTGGGATGTGGCTATTACTAGTTCCTCTATTAAGACCAGGAACATACAGTTTGCAGTTTACCTGTGATTACTCAGAAAATGGATTCACTGATGGCTACCTGGACATCTATAAAAATAAGTAGACTTTGTACTTATTTCAGGCAAAGGCAGTGTTAGACGTGAAAGTTTCTGTCTGCATTAACCATTACCTTCCTCTCTATCAGACACTCATTCTGTGAGAAGATAATTGGTGCATGACAGTGATTTGGATATTGAAGGGCCTTTTCATTGTGTATTGTAGAGAGAACCTTATGTGGGTGGTTAATTTAAGACTTCTGTGATAAGCCCCTATTCCGGAGGTGGAGGAGGATGCTGGACAGGCTTTGCTGAGACAGTCTTAAATTTCAGTCAAAGTCCTGATAGTCACCTAATGAAAAGAAAATTATATGAACCACAAGTTGATCCACGTCTGTTGTCATTAGAATTAAGTTGAGCCAGCTGCCAGTTTCTAGAGGCAGGCTAGGGCTGTCTGTCTCAGCCTGCTTCTGGTTTTACTTTCTGAGTGGGCCCAGTGAGATGAATTAGTCTGGTGTTCCTTTGAAAAACAGGTGCTGGTTGAATTTCTCAGATGTTGCTTTAGCATCCATTTCATAGAAATCAAACTTAGAAAAAATTATTCTTTAAATGGTGCTTATTTGGGGATAGGGGGCAATTCCAGTCTTATAATAAATTCATTAGTGAAGTGAAGACTTACTCATGTACATTGGTTCTAGCAGATAAGAACTTTTATAAAATGGGACATGTTCTCATGTTAATAGCATCAGCTAAAAATGTAAGATTTTTTTTGAAGAAGCTTTTACAAAGGGATTTTCTATTACCCAGGTTGGCAAAAAGACCAGCAGCCTAGGGGGAGGAAGAAAGAAGCCTTCAGGAGTTGGTGTCTAAATCTCAGTCTCATAATTGAAAGGGTGCTTCTTGAAAACTCAAGTTTAACTAGCATCCAAGTTCTCTAAGTCATACCTGGGACAATTCAAGTTTGAAAAACTGACTAAACAAAATGTTAGGGAAAGAGCATTCACGTTCCCAATAGAACATTTTTCCCAGGAAAGATGGAAATTCTACTTGAGGAGCCTGCTTTGCTGTTTTGGCACTGAGGGATCAGATACCAGCCAGAACTTGGAAGAGTTGAGATAGAAAAAAAATAAAAAATAGGAGATTTCATTAAATTCACGTGTTAGAACCTCTGGAAGGGTTCTCATGGGAGATGGATTTAGAAATAGATGAAAATTTGTACGAGGAGATTTTGACAGATTTGTTTTTTCTCTGGCATACTTGACACATTTTTTTGCCCACTCTGGTAAATAAGTATTGGCAAAGGGTTTCTAGTGTGTATCAGCTGGGCTTCCTTGATATTCTTTACCTTAAGAAAGAAAGGCTTTCAGGACACATTCATCACTTAGGGATGTATTTTCCCTGGCCTCTGATGTCCCCATTATATTGGTGCTGTCTTCCATGCATTTTTAACTCATGGAGAATCAAATAAAACAAGTTTTATTCTGGGCCTGATAACACATCACCCTGGCCTAGTTTTCGTTCCCTGGAGAGACTTGCAGATTTGCCTGTCACTTTGGCCAGTTTATCACAGAGTGGCATGTGTTCCTATGGCCTGGGGCTGGGGCTGCATCCCTTGCTTCTGTTTGGACCCAGAGTCCTGTGGAGGGCAGGAATGAGGAAGGTGACACCCCCTGTCCACGCTCACACAGGCCCATCTCTGCTTTACCTCCAGGGACTCTTTCAGAATCCAAATCTGTTAAAACTCCAAGAAAACATAGGAAAAAAAAATGGTATCCTGCTTCTAGCTCCTTCCAACAGAGGATCCTAAAGAGAGTCCACTCAGTTGCAGCCAACGGTTGAACTTTGTTTCGTTGCAGTGATAAGGATGAGCTGTATGACCTGCCCAGGTGCTGATATCTATCTCCAAACTCTCTTCCCGCTAGTTGTTCTATATTTCCAGATCACTCAGCTGTTCAACAGAAACGTACTGATGGCTGGCCTGGGTGAGGCACTGTGCTAGGTGGCCCTGCAGGGCAGTAACTGAGTCCTTAGGAGACATAAAAATGGCTCCAGATCCTACTTTGCTCTGAATAGAGAGTAACTATGTAAATCACTCCTCTTCTGTGGCTCTCAAGTCTCTGATCTGTAAAATGAGGAGATTACTTAGATGAGCTCTGAGATCCCTTCCAGTTCTAAAAATGCTATGATTTTCAGATTACAGATCTCTGGAGTCAGTGTTTCACATTTCCAAATTTAAGTTGAAAACCACATTCTTTGAGCTCTTGGCATGAAGTCCATGCTGTCTGTGAGTAAGCCATGCTTTATGGCCTGCTTGCTTCATCCATGGTAGGAAACAATCTATTGACTTCAAGATACCTCTTGTAGATGGAGAAAGAAGCTGCCTTCGAGCAAAATGGTCAGAATTTGTTGTCCTTCAGATAGTGTGTGTGAAACAGCCCCTTGGTGTGTAATGATTAGCTGTAAATGGAATGAGGTGAAGTTACTTTTTCCTAATATCTCTAAGCTGAATAAATAGATGTCAGATAAAAAATTCCATTCATATAAGAATAGTGTTCCTCCTCTCCCTTCATGAAGGAGTCAGCCATGAGGATGGATCGTAACCCTGGGTCCCATCCCAGGACACAGTGCATCCTTCGGTTGTGATTGTTATCTTATCCTGATTGGCAGTGAGGTGGGGGTTCAGGGTGACCCTTCTGTTCATACCACGGAATCTGTTGACAGCTGACACCTCTTTTGGGAAAATAAAAATGAACTGGGGAAAGGAGTGAAAGGACCATTATCACTTTGACAGATGCTCATGATTGGGGACTGTGCCAACTGGTGAATTCCTAATAATAGGAAACAAATGTGTATTTCAGCTTCTTGACTGCTCTGTGAAAGGGGCTTCTAGGAAGGAACCCTTAAATGTAAATGTAATTGAGTTTAAATAACAGGGACGGGAAGAGGCCACAACCGACTGGCCTAGGAGTAGCGTGATGATGGTGGTATCTATTTCTGTCACGGAGGGGTGCCAAGACCCCAAATAACCAGCCTATCAAGGATGGAAAATAGCTTGGGTCTTCTATGAAAGTTTTTACTAAGGTAATGTTAGGCTCCCTCTCTAGAACCTCAGTTCAGCCCTCTGCTTTGACCTGTTTTCTCCTTTGCATTTTCCATATTTCCCCTTTTCCTGCAATGGGTGATGCATGTAGTTACTCTCTGCCCCATCTCACCGAGTTGAGTGGTTGAGAGCAAGGACTTGGGAGTCTGACAGCTTGAATTGGACTCTGGGTTCCACCACTGACTTGGGCAAGCCAGTGAACCTCTCCATACCCCAGTGTCTTCATCATTAGAAAGGGGATGATGATGCCATTTTCATTTAGTGATAAGGGAGAATTAGATCAGAAAGTGTACGGAGAGGGCCTTGAAACCAAGGCTGACATGTACTGACCACGTCTTCACTCTGTGCTTCCCGTTGCCAGTCTCAGCAACCACAGCATGGACTATATCAGACATGATTTACTGCTCCCTCAATCCAGGGGCCCAGACCCCACTATTGAAGGGTCACAGCCATTACCAGCCCACTGTGAAGATCCGGTCCCTGCTGGTTGCCAGTGGTCTGAGCAAGTAATGTTTTGGCAAGGAAAGGAAACTGTCGCTTGGAAGATTCATTTTCCTCCAGAAGAATTTACTATCTTGTTTTCTGGTTGGATGTAACCCCAAGAAGTAAAATAATTCAATTCCACAGCTTAGGTGGAGTAATAGCTTTGTTGATGGTGTCTGCCAGATATGGTGGTGGAAACAAACGCAAGTGAATATGCGGCTCTTGTGTTCAGGGTCTTGTTGGGCAGCCAGAGGAATGCATGGACACAAGATTGGCTGTGTTTTTGAACAAATGTGGGTTAGAGGTAGATGCTATGCTTAGGTCCTTACTGGGTTGAAAGAAGGCGTGTGCCAGAGCACAATTAAGTGTGCTGTACAAAATGCTACATTAGAGTTAAACAGGCTTTGGGGTGCTGAGTGGTGAATGTCATTTGGAAAGGCTGAAGATGATGTCTTAGAATTTCACTTGGGCTTCAAGAAAGATGGACAGTATATTAATGGGCAGAGTCAAGGGTGGAGTTGAGCGAGAAAAATGATAATCATGCACTTAAATTCACAGTTGGTATAATTCCCAAAGACTCATTTCTGTTTTTAAATTGAAAATGAAAATACCACTTTAAAAAAACTAGTCAATTTACTATTGATATAGAATTCTAAGATTTTACCTGATAATTAGTAAAAGTCCCTAGGAAAGAGAATAAAAGAAAAAAAAACCCACGGTCTCATTTTCTAAGGTCTGCCCAGAGAATGTGAAAATTACTGTCTAGAGAATACAGACCCCGCAACAAAGAGGTCATTATCGTCAAACTGCTAAGGTCATCAGTATATACGCTTTTAAATAAACCCAATGATCCTCTTAATATCATTACGGAAATTCTAGGCACTAACACATTAAAAGTATCCTTTTGGGATGTTCTGCTATTACTGTATTTTTCAAAGGCTTTGGTTTCTGAAAATTTCTACAAATACTCTGGCTTTATTAGTTGATAATACAATGATATTCTCAGTATTTGAATTTACTCGTTTGGCTTTTCTTTCATTTACGTAAAATATTGAGAATATGGCAGTGATTTTATATTTAATCATCATGCTGTTCTTCCCCCTAAGTTAACAAAAAGAAGAAGTATAACCTTAAGGTTTAGTAGATACTGTCGTTGAAGACATTGGAAATCATTTTCCAGTTCTTTACAGACAAGAAAACTAGACCCAAAGTAAAGTGCTGTGGTCAGCAGCACATCATTGTTCAGTGGCTGGCCTGGGTCTAGAAGCCAGACCTTTTAACTCCTAATTTGATGTTCACCTTTTATACCATAATCCTGTTC
The DNA here is from genome assembly GCF_000001405.40 of Homo sapiens. Classification (NCBI taxonomy): domain Eukaryota; kingdom Metazoa; phylum Chordata; class Mammalia; order Primates; family Hominidae; genus Homo; species Homo sapiens. The sequence goes on from NC_000010.11 coordinate 11,085,371, forward strand.
ATTGAAAAACATGGGGTACCTATAGATTTGAGCCCGTGTATTAGAACACCGTGAATGAAGAGTCCAGGAGATTGTCAAATACATTTTGATTGGCAAATTGTTATTTGGCAATAACAATAATAGCTAACATTTACAAAGTTCTCCTAAGCACTTTTATGTATAATAATTCATTAAATCCATCACAGTGACCTTGTTATTGGTACTGCTGCTTTCCCCAGTTTACAGATGGGCCGTTGAGGCACAGAGAGTTGACAGAAACTGCCTAAAGTTACATATTGGGAATGCAAAAGCAGGCGGTCTGGTTCAGGGCCTGCATCTGCTTCCCCAAGATGGGATCCAGTTATTGGGAGTTTTTTGTCCCCACCTCCCCATCTGCCTTGTGTCAGAAGCAGTTTTTATAATGTCATATTAACCACACAGTTAATAAAACAGACTGCACCACCATTTGAATCCTGGGTCACCACTCCATTTCCAGAAATACATCGAGGATAGCACTGCCCTGGATGAATCCAGACCTTCACAATAATCCAGACCTTTTCTGTCAACTCTCTGTGCCTCAACGGCCCATCTGTAAACTGAGGAAAGCGACAGTACCAATAACAAGTTCATTGTGATGGATTTAATGAATTAATACACGTGAAAGTGCTTAGGAGAACTTCATAAATGTTAGCTATTGTTATTGCCAAATAACAATTTGCAATCAAAATATATTTGACAATCTCCTGGACTCTTCTTTCATGGTGTTCTAATACACGGGATCAAATCTATAGGTACCCACTGTTTTTCAATGAACAGGATTATTCAGGATAATGCAGTGCCATCTGGAAGACCCTTATAGCTATAGGGCAGCTCCACTGAGGAGAGAGCGGAATCTCCCCAGTTGAGCAGGTGATTTAAACTCCCCTGGCATTCGCAGCAATAACAACCGTATTTTTCCCTCCGCCTGGCCTGTGTCTTGACTTTGGACAGGAGTCCAAAGTGAGCTGCGTCTTTGTGTCTGCTCCCTGCACTGCAGAGGGTGTGAGCTGCACGCTGCCTACCCGGGTCTGATAGGGAGTGGGGATTAGACGCCAACATTCCAACATCATTATGTAAAGTAAAATAGCATCATTGAGAGAGGTGAGGCTGAGCAGTCCAAAATATTTGATAACACTGAAAGAGCGTTTTTCCTCTTCCACAGTGAATCCATGTCTCCATTTGCATTTGTTAAAAAAAAAAAAAAAAAAAAAAAAAAAAAAAACTCCCGACAGCACCAGCAACACAACAGGAGAGATGCACAGCCTGAGCAATAAATCTCTCGAGGCATTCAGCAAGTGCCACAGGGCTCATTAATCTTGATTATTTCCCGTAATAGATAACTTCACAAATCAGCTATTATTCCTAATCACGCACATAAAGATAATGGATGGGTAATAGCTTCCTGCATGGTTAGACCAAAATAAAATTTCATGTAAAAATATATTTCTACACATTCCAGGGAAAGGTGTTTTCTTGCTTTCTTAAAGGGACAGGAGGAGATGGGGGAGCAACCACTGAGGGCAAAATTGATCCTTGAGAATTGGGTTTGAAGGAAGTATTAGGTCTCTCTGATTTGCTTGGAGACATTCACTGGCTTGTGTGCCACCCTGTCACTGTGAGGCGGGTTTGAGAGACTTAGGGCCACAGGAGGCTACAGAATTGTCTAGTTCCAGTCTCTAGATGGTGTTTGGGAAGACTGCTCCCCAAAATATAAAGCACTGTGACATCAGTGCTGTCTTACATCTCTAAAGATGGCATTGGTGTTGAGAATGTTTGCTGAGTTTGAATTCTGTTATCTTCCCAGGGTTTATGGACGACCCCAGGAATGCTCTTCATATACCGGCTCCCAAACTGAATGAACAATGTAAAAAGATTGATAGGTGATGAGAGATGTGTTTCGTATATATTGGGATGGGGTGTGGATGATAAAGCATTGGTATTTTAAGCAGTTGACACTAGACAAGAGTAAACCTAAAGAGTCCTAGGACTCCCAGGTCTTTTTCAAGGGGCAAAAACCTGTGTCTTTTGAGTGCCTGAAAGAGTTCTAACTGAAATTGCCCAGGTGAAGGGAAGTAGCAACTGGCTTCTCCATTTAAATTATGCCCTTCTGACGGCCCGTCGACTGACGTAGAACATGGCACTGTTATCGCACAGCAGCGAGCTGCAGCTGTCTATCATTTTCTTCTCAAAATGCCAGTGCATTAAAGCAAGGCCTGGAATGAGACACATCACATTTATGACAGGATTTGACTCCATATTATTCAGTCAGTAGGAATAATCAGCCTATCACAACAACACATACCCACAGAAACATCGTCTTATAACACACGCCTTTGAACCCCACCCTGCGTTGCTGGATAGTGCTAGCAAATGTCCTTCTACAGCCTCTTCTCCAGGCACCTAAAGTCAAAATTTCACCTCAGACTTCTCTTTTTACCTGCGGTGAAGTAGTTAGGCTTTATCAGAACTTCCAAAGGAGAAGGAGGGCCGGTCTACTTCCCAGGGCCTCGCATACTATACATGTTTCTTAAATGTTGGAGTAGAAGATGATTAACTGTTTTCCTGCCAATGAAGTCTGTTCTTCTGATACATTCTCCACTGTGACAGAATCACTGAATGCCCTTTAGGTAGAAGGCAGTGTGTTAGGCATTGGGAACACAGGTGTTAAGGTGTGATTTGAGCCTTTAATGAACGTTGTGCTTCAGTAGAGGAGGTGAGAGGCAAAAGCCAATGCCCACACATGAGCAAAGGTGAGGCATGCCAGAAAGGAGGCTAGAGTGAAGTGCTGAGGACATTCAGGTGAGGCAAGGCTGTGCATTGAAGGAGGCACGAATTTGTACCCATGGCTATGAGGGGAAAAGACATGAGAGGCAGAGTGAACAGCATGAGTGAGGCATATGCGTAGAAACACTTCGGACATCTTTAGAGGGCAGTGACCAATCCAACCAGATGGGAACATCATCAGTGGAAAATGAGAGATAAAGCAGAGAATGTGATGTTAGGCTGAATTTTAGAGGACTTTGCATGCTGGGCTAGGGGGTTGGACATTGTTCCCTAGACATTAGAGATCTAGTAAAGGGTTTATAGCAGGGCATGGCATGGTTAGACCTGTGGTTTAAGAAGATGAATTCAGTAAGCTACAGAATGGACTAGAGGAGGAAGAGCCTAGCAGAGCCGGATTTCTCAAATGATGATGCTTCTTGGCTGTGTGAATGGATGTGCAGAAACACATGTCTTAGGCAGAGGGAGCCAGGAAGCACTGGTGGTTTTGTTGGGTGTGGTGGGTACTGCTGTGTAACACATCATCCCATACTTAGTTGCATAGAACCTCTTCCTTATGGACTGCGTGGGTCAGGAGTTTGGACAGGGCACAGAGATGGTGGATGGCTTGTCTCTGTCTGACAATGTCTGGGAGCCTCAGCTGGAAGAATTCAAATGACAGGTGACTCAGCTGGCTGAGGACTGGAGTCATCTGGAGGTGTCCTCGCTAGCACATCTGACAGGTGGGAAGTGTTACCAGAAAACTGGGCTCATCTGGAGCTGGTGACTGAAGCACATGCAAGCCTCTCCCGTGCGTTGGGCTGCCATTGGCACGGCTGCTGGGTTTGAGAGAGGCGAGCTTCTGTAGGGGGGAGCCTTCTAGTAGAACCAGGAGAAAGCTGTACAGTCTTTTCAGCCTAGCCTCAAAAGTTGAACAGTGCCACTTCTGCCACATCCTTTTGGTGACAAGAGTCCTAAGAGCCAGCCCAGATTCAAGAGGAGAGGATTGGACTCCCACTGTCATTGGGGATGGCAGGGTCACGTTGCAAAAGAGCATGTGGGATGGGAATAATTTCCGGAGCCATCTTTGAAACACACAGTAGGCCACAGTGGAGGTTGGCAGCCGATGGCAGCAAAGATGACTAATTCAGTTAACACTTGCTGAGTTTGAGGTGCGCATAGGATTTTGAAGGTGAAAAGGGTGTAGTAACTGAAGATAGAGGACTTTACACACCAGCCTAGAGACATTGAAGACTTTTAAGAAAGGAGATAAAAGCAGAGATAGTGGCCAGAGATAAGCGTAACTGCTGCAGGCATCTCGACATTTAGAAGAGCAGGATGAGGAACCCAAGAAGGGGAGGGACAGACTGAGGAGAATATGAGCCACAGTGGCTAGATGAATGAAGAGCGTGAAGACAGGAGTGTCAGTATATGGTCTTTGAAAGAGGTTTCAGTGGCTGGTGGAAGCAGAAGCCAGATGGCAATTGCTTAAGGATTAACGAGGTAGAGAGAAGGCAGAAGGCATGAGAGGTATATCCAAAGGAGAAGAAATCACCCTACCAAAAATATACATGCCCTCATATGTTCATCACAGCACTGTTCACAATAGCAAAGACACGGAGTCAACCCAGGTGCCCATCAGTGCCAGGTTGGATAAAGAAAATGTGTTGTACCATGGAATACTTCGTTGCCATAAAAAAAAGCATGAAATCATATCCTTTGTAGCAACGTGGATGAGTTGGAGGCCATTATCCTAAGTGAACTCATGGAGAAACAGAAAACCAAATACCACATGTTGTCACTTGAAAGTGGGAGCTGAACACTGGGTACTCATGGACATGAAGATGGAAACCATAGACACCAGGAACTCCAAAGAGTTGGGAGGAAGGGAAGGGGACAGACATCAAAACCTAGTTACTGGGTACTATGCTCAGCACCAGGGTGATGGGATCATTTCACACCCCAAACCTCAGCATCACGCAATATACCCAGGTTACAAACCTGCACATGTAATCCCTGAATCTAAAATGAAATTTGGGGAAAAAAAAAAAAAAAGTAGGCCTAGGGAGCACCTTGAATGCTATGAAGGGAAACAAGGCGGTAGAAGAAGTAATCGTGGAAGACTTAGGAAAAGAGAGGATTTTTGTATATGTTTGTATTTAAAAGAATAAATGGTAGTTTTTTCCTCCCAGATTGAAGGACTTATTTTTGACCTTCAGAAAATATGAAGTACATCATGTCTGAATCTGGATATGCTGCTTTTATGTACTTCTTTCCCTCCTCCCAATTAATAAAAAATCAAATGAATTTCTATTTTCTACTGTTTAATAGTTGGAAAGGATTTTATAGGTTAGAATACTCAGACATTTTAACAGACTCACTTGAGAGGACATTGAAAGATTGATTTTTAATTTGGAAATGTACATATTGAAATTATAGCATTATATATAATCTTGAAAAATTAGAGGCAGCCTAAATATCCAGCAATAAGAGAATAGGTAAAGATATTATGATATATCTACATAATAGAATACTTCATAGCCATTTAAGATTGTAGTGATAAGGAAAAAGGCTAATAATTACTGATTATTTTCTATTCTCTAGCACTGGGGTGGGACGGAAGTGATCTAATGGAATTCCACAAGAGTTTTAAGAGGGTTAGGTCATACTGTCATCAATGTTTAGGTGAAAATTGATACCTAAGTTAAAAATCATATGTGCATATGTAAACAACTTTTTAATAAAAATACAGGCTAGAAATAAACAACCGATGGTTAAATTAGAAGAAAATGTACAGACTTATTCTTCCGTTTTTTAAAAACATGTAATCATTGTATTGAATATCATTCTTTTATAATCCATAGTTAATGTGTTCAAGATCATGTGTAGACTTAAATATCAATTATGAGTTACCTTCTGAAATTCCTTTTGAATAGGATGATTTCAAGAAAAAAAGACATAAAGCAGTAAGCCTATGGTATGAATGTTTGATTCTCCTTTTTTGTCTAATCAGCTTCCTAACATAACATGTTAGGGCACAGCTGCTCCTCCCAGTCCCCGACAAACACCAAATTCAGGTTCCATCATTTTAATAAGTGGGCGTTGAGTCAACTGAGTAGAAGACATTAAGTGAAATCGCTGGTCTTCCAGGACAGGGGAGGTAAGGCTGTTCTCCCTGGGGAACCGTTCAGCAAAGGAATGAAATTTTTTGTGAGAAACATGGCCTCTTTTACAGAAGTTAATCAGCCTGTTCTGGGCTTGAGAAAATACTGACCTCCATGCCTAGGACCTGAAAGAGATGAGGCCTTGAGTACATGGCACATCCCTTCAAGAAAGTTCATGTGCTTTGCCTTTTCTTTCAATGCCTTTCCTCATTTTTTAAAGACAGGGTAAACTAGATTTGTGAGGAAATACTACGTTGCAGCCTTCTGCAGTCAAACGAGCATGTTCTCTGCTGATTGACAGCAATACAAGGAAAGGTTACATCGAAGATGGAGGCGAACCCGAATTTTTTTCCCCTACCAGCCTAGTAGTTTCTGAACTCATTTTGTGAAATGAAACTAGTAGAAAAATTTAACCCACAGAAAAATGGGGAAAGGCAAGCAATAAAATTACCATGAATGACTAAACATGAACTTACCACTGTCAAAATCTTCTCCAAGTTAAAAACATGACTCTCAATCAAATACAGAATGAACGATTCTCACAGATATAACTCGTTCATGAGGAAACCAGTAAGACGGTAACGTTGGCTTAAAGTGCATTTGCAGAACCAGGTATTTACAGGCATTTAGAAAAGCAGAATAAAATTTCTCAGTTATATATAATACTGATCAATATCCTAGAACGTAATAAAACCATAACCATTGGGATGATCATTTCAACTAGACATACATCTAGAATTTAATCTGTAACTTCTAATCCAAGGCCAAAGAGCAAAATCAGAGATAGATCCTTCTTCTGAGAGAATGAAATAATCCCCATACAGGCCTCTGAAGGGCCCCAGTATGACAATGGAAGGGCACAGTCTACCACTGCCACCTTACCTTATTCATAGGTGTTACTTATTCTTAACATCACACAGTGTTTGCTTCTCCCCCTCAACTTTTAAACACGTTTTAAGAAATGTAATACAACTTTCAGCTTCCTTTATTAGAATAATGATGGTGATCAAAACACAAACAAGAGGTTGTTGGCGGACACCACTTTATCCTTGATCTCAGGCCTTGGTCCCCTTATTCCAGGCACTGTAGGGGAGAAAACATTTTCACCCATTGCAAGGTTCATAGCTGAGACCCTCATAACAAAAGATTAAGAAAAGAAAAGCAGATAGATTTATTTAACGTTACGTGGGCGCCTTCATAAGGAAATGAAGAGCTGAAGAAACAGGGAGAACTGTGTTTTTAACAGTCATGCAGAAATATGATTGGAGGAAAGAAGGGTATGATCTCATGGTTTTGAACTAAGGAGACTTAACAAGGCTTGTTTGTTCAAATTCTTCTCTGTAGTCCCTGTTTCTTCAGAGATAAGGATGTTCCTCTTCTCTGGGTATAGACAAGGCCAGAAAATTCTTTCCAGGTTTTGTGAATTGCTTCAGGGAAGAAGGTGAGAGTGGCCCTCTTGCCTGTGCTGTTTTCACAAATGCCAAGATGCCACAGTTTGGGATAGCATGGCCTGAACCCCATCAGCATTCTAGACTGCTAAACGAACACTCAGTCCACAGCTGAGTGAATCCATCCAGACATAGGAGACAGATATCTTACTTTATCACCTCTAAATTTGCAGCTCAACTTTTCTTTGCACTTGTCTGTTGGGAGATGCCTTTCCTGGCGTTTCAGATGCTGTCCAGTGCAATTCCGTCCATTCCACTGTGTAATAATAGGAGGCTGTACGTCTTGATTGGCATCAGTCTTAATTTCTTACTCTGTCAGGGACTTAGCATGCTGATAGATGCAAAGTGATGCAGTTACTTGTAATTGTCTCCTCTAGCTTTTTTGCATCTGCTGTTAAGTTGAGTTCTACAGAAGAAGAAGTTCATGCTGCTCTCAATCATTTGTGGGACATTTGGTCTGTTCCCTCTTGAGATGGTGTTTATTGGGCCACAGTTTGGTGTTTGGGAATTAATGTGAAAATTCCAGTGGACTATTCCCAGGATTGGGGCTTAGTCTTGAAAGTCCTAACACCCAACATTATTTTAGCTACACCTCAGGGTATTTCTGTCTTCACAAAGGGTATTGTGAAATTTAAACTAATAAAAATTTTAATTTATTTATGTAAGTCAATCTGTGGCATGCAAACTAGGGATGTGGAGAAGGATGGAAAAGAGGAGGAAGAAGAGTAAGATTACCTAATCAAATCAATAGCCCTATGCATATCCCAGCTCCGTAATTGTAGCAAATCACTACCTTCAAGTCATCAAATTGAGTGTCATAGTGAAACTGTTCCTATATGTCAAGCAAAGCTTTAAACAAACTTGATATACTAATAATCTACAACTATAAAATAGTTCAGCAATTTTGATTCATCAGGGAGCAGTTTTTTTTTACATGCCTTGTCCAGGCCCTTTTTTCAACTGAATCAGCCAGTCAATTCCGTTAACATGGTCCAAATTGTCTATGTAATCTCAGCTTACCACTTATTTCTTAATCTCTGTTTTACAGTTAGAACTCCAGAATGACTGACTAATAAGGTCAACCTGTGATATAATTATGATGGCTTCAGATTGTATCTCTACCACTCAGAAGAAATTAACTCTTCTAAGGTTGAGTCAGTGTTTTCCATCATTGTCATGGACAATTAGTAGCCACTTAACAATTGGTTACAGTTCATTTCTGCTAATGGTATTACAGATGAGATCAGACCAACCACACAACAGTCGATATGAGTTCTCGGAGATTCAATGTCCACATGGTACTGGAAGCCATTCCATTTTTCAGGCCAGTTTATAAAGCCACTTTCTGTGTATTGCAGTGCTGTATTTGCCCTGGTGTTTATGAAACATGTCTTTGTGGCAAATTAACTTGCTGGCGACCTAGCTGCGTAACTGAATTGAATTGCAGAACATTAACTTTACGCTAAGTACACAACAGTGACAAGAACTGTGTGTTATTTTAGAGCCATAAGAATCTGCTGTTTTTCTAAAATGCCATCATTTGTAAGCATGGCGTTGGAAGAAAAGTTTGTCCAAATTAGCCGTGGTTATAGAGGTTCTGGTTACTAGGATATGCAGTCCACTTGTGGGCAAAGAGCTGCATTGTTTTTTTTGAAACTACCTTGTCTGTCTCTTCTTCCTCATTCTTATTATAATGAACTTGGGAATGTTTAGTAAATCAGGTGACTTGAAATGGTTGAATGTTTTCCAACCTTCTCATACTGAAGTGGTCGACAATAAGGCTTCCATAGCAACCAGCTTTTTCCTGACAACAATTTCTTTGGAAGGGGAAAAAAAGCAAAAGGGAAGTGAGAGCTGTGTCTATATGTTAAATACATCGGCTGATTTATTTTTAAAGGTAGAAAAGAGTGTTTTAAGCACTCTGGGAAAAAGACTGCCCATCATGTGTCCATCCATGTTAGAGTGTCCGTCATTTGGTTTCTGAATCTTCACGAGGAAGAATATGTCCCTGACATACAAAATACCTTAGCCATCGAATGAACACATATGAGACTGCTTGGTGTAATCCCCTCAGTAGGGGACATTGACAAGAACTCTAGTGCAAAACCTTGAAGGATACACTGCACTTGTTTTAATTGAATATCATTTTCTACATTAATTAATGTGTCCATTCTAATTTCCCAAAATGGCAAATAATGATGTGTGAAAACAGTATAATTACATTTTTATATTTTTGGTAGAGTAATAACTGGATTCGATTTGCTTTTGATCTTGAAGGTTGTTTATCATTCCTGTCAATCATTCATCCCTTTTAATTATATTTATGTCATTTTTGGTTTTTATTTTTAATGAGGCACCCAGATCAGCACTGGCCTTGATGCGTGGCCCCCGTGATACTTTGCGTAGGGGGTTTACAAAGCGAAGTTTCTTCCTATGATTGTTAACCAGATGCTTTGAGATTCTCTTTTTCTGAGAGAAGCATGCACATGTAACACACATCAGCAGGCTACTAAGCAGAGTTTGTGACTTCATTAGAATGAGCATCCTTGCATTTGGGTGGAAGTAGTGTGGTAGCTGGCGGTTGTGTGCGGCATCATCCCACAATGTGTCATTTGGGTAAATGTGACTGAGGACCGTGGCAGAGTCCCATCCGTGACTGTATGTAGCCGTCTCAGTGCCCCGGCATTCGGCATGTTTTCTGCAGTAGCTCGTGAGTTTACCTGGAGCTAAGATGAAGCTAAGAGATGTTTTTAAATCCACGACCTGCAGGGGGAGGGCAGCTGAGGTTTAACAGGCATATAAGCTTGCATATCTTTTGCCCACATTTTTAACTGTAACAATGAGTTGTCACTGGGAAACAGCATCTCAGCTTGGGAAAAGGCCTGTTGCCTTTCAACTTGAAAGAGGTTGTGGTAGAATTTTTGTTTCGCAACCAGAAAAAGAGAGTGATGGAGGCAGGCACGCAGTGCTCCCCACTAGGAGAAGCTGGCGTTGGCATTCATCATCATGACAGGAGACGCTTCGAAATGAAATTCTCACAAATTATGAGGCCAACACTTAGAATCGGGAAGAAAGTGATGAAACCATTTGTGAAACTCCCTTGTGAAAAAGGATGCATTTATTTTAGCTGATTTTTTAAGGAAAACTATATTTAAAAAAAAAATATCCTTAGAATTTACAGTGTAACATTTTGCCATATGTATTGAACATTATCATGAAAGTATGTCTGGACACCTACCTCGCATCCATAGGTATTAACAGCTCCTTCTACCTCCTCCTGCCTTTGTACTGATACCCGATTTTGCAAAAACAAACAAGTAGCCTCATGTTGACCTGCATTTATTTGAAGCGCATTATGCACCAATGCAGAGGAAATGCATTTACTTCTACCTCTGAACAACTAAAGCTTAAATAATGCATTTCAGCAAGGTAATCTATTAGAAGAGCTCTCTTGAGAAGTGCTATGTTATGAATGGATTCTGCATTTAAAATATCCATTTTGTTGCCTCCCTCCTGCTAATTACTTCTTTCTTTGTCTTACCTCTAATTTGCATTACTTGAGAAGAACAGAGGGAAGGGAGTCCGTCGTTTTCCCCTTCACGAATCCTTACACTTAGTGGCAACTGTAGTGTTGACTTAAGCTCATTTCTGTAGAAGGGAAACTGCATTGCCAAGGAAAAGATAATCGCTAATCACTAAATCTAATTACAAAGAAGAGTAAATCACTAAAAACAAATTAAGTATCTTAAATAAAAATGGAAAATAAAAGCAGTTAAGAATCAAGGAAACTGCTGCAATCTCTCAAGTCTGTTGCACGGAGCTAACTGAGAGCAGCCTGTGTTGGGTTGTATGGCCAGACTGGGCATGGGCAAAGCTTTTCTCCATGGAATCCCTCTTCAAAGAGTTTGACCGAAATGACAAAACCAAACCAAACAAAAACCTTGGCTCAGAAGCAATTCTGAGTATCTTTTGGTTGTAACTTAGGAAGCAACAAGTCACTCTCTCTGTGTAGCCCTGCAGACCTGCTTACTTGTCCTCTATCTACCAGGATGATGGAGGTTACTTTCAAATCACTGTAGCCCGAATTTAAATGAACTGGAAACTAATGAGAATTCTATACTTGACCTTAATCTGACGAGGTCTGACAGAAGCTTCTTTCTAACCCACTCCTCCTCCTCCTTTCCTTCCTTCCTTTCTATATTACTAGTTCCTTATGTCTTTAAATGTATGCCAGTCTAATGGGAGTTAAAAACAATAGGAAACGAAGAGTTTTTATCCCTGATTCAGAAAATGTGGCTGGAGGAGTAGTGCTCTTCCTCACAAAATTCTCCTGATCATGTTTTCCCTGGGCAATTTCCAAATCTTTTTTTAGTTAATGCAATTTAGTGATGTATAGTATTTCCCATAAGTATCCCAACAAAAGTAGAGCTGCCCATCACATTTGTTTTCCTGGTATGTTTGTAGTAAAAAATTAAGATAACATAGGAGAGGTATTTCATTGAACCATTAACGTTAAAAACTTGCCTTTAAAAATATTTATATGTCTTTCCTTTGCGTAGTTATTCATAAAATGTTTCCATTTGCTTTTCAAGCACTTTGTCCAGTCTTCTTAGGTATGAAGAAAAGTCAGAAGATTGAAAAGTAAATTTCTGAGTTGGGAGGATTTAGGAGAAGAGATATGCATGAGAGATGGAAATGCAGTCTGGGAAAATAAAATACCCAATGATAGGACCTTTCGATGCTATCTCTGCCTCGAGCCACTTGGGTTATAATAAGGTTGTGGTCTACCCTGACTCTGGGACCAGGGAATTGAGTGCTCCGGTTCAATAGTGGGTAGCTTGGCACCATCACTAACTATCTTTGACCTTATACTTCTGAAAACCAAGTTTTTGTCTCTATTCTTTGTCACCAAGTGCCCATGTATAGCATATTCTGTTCTTGCCTTTTTGGTTTTAGGATCCTCCTGGGTACCTGAGTTTCTACGGGGTTTTCCTCACACTGTACTCAACCTGGTAGGGACATCCCCAAATGGTGGATGGTGGATCTCTCTGGTCAACCAACCTTTGTCACCATCATCACCCCCGATCAGGGACTTCCCAGATGGGCTGGAGCTGGATCTCTCCTCCAGGTCTGGCCTTCTGGGGTTTAACCCATGCGGCCACTGACCACATGACACCTCATGCATGGAGTCAGGGAGCACTGGATGCCACCCTGCAGGGACTGTGTTCCAGTCAAAGCCACACTAACAGTGAGCACTCACCACAGGCTGTGAGGCCTCATCACTGAACCAGGGCTGTCCCTGGGTACTCACCAGAAAAGCAAATTCAGGATGATGTGAGAAAGAAAGTCACGTGGCTAGTGAAGGTTGAGCATGTTGTGTGTGTGAAGGATGAGGTGTGTTTCGTATGCCCATATTTTGGATTGGATGGACCAAGTGAAGGACAGTCTTAGGACGGGGACAAAGAGTCTGAGGAGTGGGACGTTCTGTGCTGTGAGCAGCGACGGGCACCCAGCAGCCCTCGCCTTGTCTTCCTGCGAAGGTTCAGGAGCCAGTGTGTTCTTTCCTCTGGTTCAGCAGAGAGCAGTAGACCCTGTCTCCAAGCCGTGGCAAGTGTCTAATTCTCCCTCCTGCTTAGCTCCATTTGCCCTTAGGTCAGGCACATTGACGTGAGCTCAAACCCCCATGTACTGCAGAGGGATAACAGTTCTTCAGCCTTGAAAAAGGAATCACAGAGGAAAGGGCAGTTAGGGAAGAAATGAGGGAAAAAATGGATGAGGAAGAGGGCCCAAAAAGAGATAACAGACACTGAAATCATCACATATTCCTTTAGAAAGGCACAGTGAGCACGCTCATTTTTTTTCCATTTTAGACAAATAATGCATGATAAGTATAAATGTGTCATGAGCACACTGTTTTCTCTGTAGAAATAACAAAGGCCCTGGATACAGTAGAATGTCTGGCCTTACTTTTCTGTAAACTGCGGCCACTTTGTCCTTTATCTGTGTGGTTAATTTCTATGAACTGCTGGACAGCTGATTTGACCGAGGCTTCTTGGCTCTGCACCGGGTGATAATTCTACCTGGGCAGCAGGCCACGCGTGAGAGCAGCTTCCCCGAACCTCTCTCATCCCCTCAGTTTGGGCACAGTCCAGCAGGAGAATATTTAAAACTGGGTTTGGTTTAAAATGCAGATAACAGACAGAAATGCAGATAAGCTTTGCCATAAGAAACGCACAGATGACTTCAGATAAAAGTTTCGCCAGAGAATGAATTAGGACCGTCGTCCTGGGGGCCATGAGACAACCCTTTGCCCCACACAGCGTCCCATCTTTCAGGACCAGCAAAATACGTGAATCAGTTGGAAGGAACTATTTGAAAAACCAAGGGATACATGAAATGTGATTTTATGAGGAAACGAATGTACTCTTAGAATACCTACACCTTTTTTTAATACCACTGTGTTGCATGGGCTGTTCTGCTCTTCAGTAAAAATGATTAATAGCCCCCATCCATCACATTGTACAGTGTGGTACATCTGAGAAGCAGAGAGCTTATAACATATACTTGGCAATAAGTCACAAAAACATTCGTATTTTTTAATAACATTTTTGAAGGAGAAAAATCTGTTTTTCAATAAATTCTGGCGTGGTTTCCCTCCAGATTTTATTTCTCATTTAAAATGACCTTGGGGTCGATTCTTTTCTTCTTCTGTTCGTTGGCTCTTTACGAGGTCTTTGCCTTAAACAGATACATTTTAGAGATGGATTAAAAAGGGGACTAGCTCATGAGCATAGAATTCCCGATTTCCTTCTGTTTCCACTTCTGATGAGTTGTGGCAGCATTAACACCAATGTAACTTAATTTTACAGAAATTTTTGTAGTCGGTGCTACTCATAATCAGGTAAAATTATTCTTCAACACATTTCTTTGTTACCGTAATATATTTGGCTTTTCTTTGTGGACTATTTTATTTCTATACATTATTGTGTAAATTGCAGAATCTTTCTCGTAAAGTGGTAGGTTGCCACTATTTTTATTGGTAAAACTCTGAATTTATTATACATTACATAGTTACCCCTATTATTGGAAACTCCTTGTTTCTACATTAAAACAACAACAACAACAAAAAAAAAAAAAAAAAACAGAAAAAACAGCTTAAGCTGGGCGTGGTGGCTCATGCCCATAATCCCAGCACTTTGGGAGGCTCAGATGGGCAGATCACCTGAGGTCAGGCGTTTGAGATCAGCCTAGCCAACATGGCGAAACCCCGTCCCTACTAAAAAATACAAAAAATAGCCGGGCATGGTGGTGGGCTCCTCTGAAATTCCAGTTGCCCAGGAGGCTGAGGCAGAAGAATCACTTGGACCCAGGAGGCAGAGGTTGCAGTGAGCGTAGATGGCGCCACTGCACTCCAGCCTGGGTGACAGAGCGAGACTCTGTCTCAAAATAAATAAATAAATAAAATAAATAAATAAATAAATAAAGTTTATAATTCATAGTCACCCAAGGCCAACAAGTTGATGATGTGGAATGTCAGCTAAGGGTGATGCTAATTGTAGAAAATCCTCTTGGCCCTTTTCCATTCCTAGGAATTCCACATACTTTTTAATTTTTAAATTTTTACTCCAGTAGTTTTTGGGGTACAGGTTGTTTTGGTTACATGGATAAGTCCTTAACATGCGTTATTCATAGGTGAGAGGACACCTTCATTCAGGACCACATGTGAGTTCCTAATAAATATGAATGGAACTCACTTTCATTTCCTAGAGGGTATACCCTCTAGGAAATGAAAAGGGAACTTTCAGAAGTCTGTGAAATTCATTCTTATATTTGAAAAAGATGATACTCAACCCATCTGACACGCTTCATACCAATCCCCACCATTCAAACATTAAGTCCATGAATGAAATAATGTGCAGGGTTTTTCCTATCCACAAAGAGTTCCCGTAGCATTTTATAATGTGAGATGTTTTTAAAGCACAGAACAATGTTTAACATTGCAAGCCCAATGAACAGGTACCTTGGAGATAGGAAAAGCAAAGTAACTCTCTTTCTGTGTTTGTTGTCAAGGGAGGTCTCCCATACCAGCTCTCTGATTTTCTTCTCTTCTGTGAATTGGAAGGTTGCATTCAATGAAACAAAATCCGCATTAGGATGCAGATGGCAGCACGTTGAAACACCAGGCAAAGAGGTGTTTATTCCACTAAACACCTTTGGGGCTGTCTAGTTAGATTTTGAGACTTGACTGTTTCTAAAATGCTTTGTTTCTGAATCCTGTTTCTTTTATGGGTGTTTGAGAGAGATTTAGAAGGGGAAATCAATAGGATATTATGATGGATTGGATATGGAGGGTGAGAGATGATGGTATAAATGATGACTCTTGGATTTCTTACTGGTGTACTTGAATGAATGGTGGTGTTAGAGAGCTAGTTCGCTGAAAGGGATCAGGTTTGGAGGGAATGATCAGCAACTTGAGGCTTCCGATATGTGGGGTGAATTACAATACTTCTGAGACATCCAAATGGAAATACCAAATAGAAAATAGGATGTACAGATCGGTATGTCATAAGAAAGGTCTTGGTTGAACATGTAAATGGTGACTGTATATAGGTGTAATTTCAGCCATGGGTGTGAATGAGATTGCTTAATGATTCCTGAGCTAGGTAGAGGAAGATGAGACTGTGAAGAAGTTAGAGAGGGCTAGCTCTCAAGACATAGAGCACCAGGAGAGTGTTAATGTCAAAGAACCCAAGACATGAGAGGGTTTCAAGGTCAGAGAAATTGACAACCTGGGTAGTATCATAAATGACTTTGTCCACTAATTCAGGTACAGTCAGATATTGGCAACATCATGATCTAAAACTTCTTTGTAGAAAATTAGCTGTGCTTTCCACACAGCAAGGATCCACCCTTAATAACTGGCTGACTGGTAGGTTTTTACCACTGTAGCACAACGGAAACACTTGTAACCTCTGCATACCAAGCATCATTTCTCCCTTGCCTGGAATAATTTTCCTTTAATATCATCCTGTGGGAAATGTATCTAGTTTACTGCTCCATTCTTTGTATCTTATATGGAATTATAATGATCTGTACTTTTGTTGACAATTTCAATAATGACAGGAAAATATCATTATTGTTGAGGTATCCTGGTTTAAAGCAATTTCCTGGGAGAAAGCATCAAACTCCCATAATAAAGTTATAGTCCAAATTGTAAAAATGTGTTTTTAAGGGTGTTTTTTTCTTTCATATAGAAGCATCATGGGCCTTTACTGAACTAATTGTCATGGTAGAGCTCTTGATAAGCCACTGTGGTTGATTAGTATAATAGTGTCCCTGTCAATTTTACTTACCACATTGAAGTTGCATAGTTTCTGAATTTGACATTCTTAGACCAGACTGTAATCCAGTGAATCCATTACCTAAGCAAAAATAAATTCACAGAAGTAGCAATAGCTTTTACTTAAGCCTTCCTTCCAGTCCATGGCAAAAATAGGACTTCAGTGGATTTCAAGATACTTGCCCGACTGTGCTAATTCTAAAGTAATCAATTAAAAGAGAAAGGCATTAGCTGGTTCTTCTTTGTATAAGAAACAAATTTAAACATCTAAGCAATTCTCAGTTCATAAGGTAACTTTACTTTTCCTATATAAACAGTTTCTGCTATAGCTGAAGATAGAACAAATGCATATGCTATTGAATCTTTTAGCAAGTTACATGGCTCTAAAATTGGACTTCTTTTCAGGCATCGCAAGCAGACCATTGTCTGTAGCTTTCATGGAGATGTGTGTGATTTGTCCTTGAAACTCGGGGCCCTGTTCTCCTCCCACTACCAAGTTCAGCCATGCTGGTGGCTTCAGACAGCGTCCTTGGAACTCTTGACTTTTACATCCTTATCTCAAGCCCTGCTTTTTTCTTGAATGCCAGTAATTTTGGATTGGAAATCTCTTCCTAGGCAACCAAATTCAATGTAAAATGGAGCTCATTTCCCCCTTTCTTTCTCCATGGAAGTCTTATAAAACTCAACCAAGCATGCCTTGGAATCATGCCTCACTCCTTTTTCTCTCTCATTCCCCACAGCTCATGAAACCCTCAGCCCTGTCAGTTTTTTCTTTCTCAATTTAAAAATTTTCCTTTCTTTTCATCGTTTATGGACAGACCACTTCTCCCTTGCACAGTTGGAACAACCTCTTCAGCCACCTTCTACCTCTACACAAAAGTTACTGATGTTTCTAAAACCTGAGTCTCATCTTGTTACTCCCTATTCAGAATTCTCCAGTGCCTCTCCTTTGCCTAATGGTTAATGCATCAACTTCTCAGCAAGTCCTAAGGGTGCCTCACAATGCGGCTGCAATCTCCCTTTTCCAACCTCTTGTTGAGTGACTTCTGTACATTCTTCACCCCAGCTAGTCACCCATTTATCAGAATTCGAAAAAAATCCACGCTTTGCCAGAGCCAACCCCACACCATGCTTACATCTTTCAAGATTAAACTTGAAAGAGCTTCTGTTCGTCATTCAAGATTCAACTCAGATGTAATTTTTGCTCCGATGCTTTCTTGTACATTATGGATTTTTTTTTTTTTTGCTTTTTTTATTCCCATAACATTATAGAAGCTTTTATTTTCACTTACATTTTTATTAACATTTTACAAGAGGCTGCATGGCCTAGTGCTCTTTTTAAAAAGCCTAGGCTTCTGAATCGGATAAACCTGTGTTTGTAGCCTGATTTTTTTTTTTTTTTTTTTTACTGTGAACTCTGAAACCAGGTTATTTGACTTCTCTGAACCTCAATGTTCTCATATGCAAAGGGGGGAATTAGAACAGTACCTTTCTCAGAAGGTCGTCATGATTATCTGAGATAAACCACACGCAACTCTCGACACATGAAATTAAACATTGTACCTGGCTCATGTTTGATTTGTTGTTGCAGGGGTGGTATTGGTTATATTTGTCCTTCCCTCAAGATTGAGTTCTGATTACTGGTTCGTAGTAGAAGTCCAGTAAATACTGAATAAATACCTAACAAGTGGGTGAATTCGTATATAGATGTAGTTAGGTAGCCCAAAAGATTAAAGTAGAAACTCTTCTGAGACATGATACTGTTACTGGGATGGGAAGGCTAAAATTATTGCATATTTTAAAATCTGGAAGGGTAGAATTTACTGACTCCTAAATTTACCCTTTCCTGAAATGGGAGAAATGCAGGTAATAATATTTATGGTCAGTTCTGTTTTTATTCAGCAAAGCATGAAAACTATTTATTTAAAGAAATAGACTGACACTACCCTTTTGCTCTTAGTATTTGGTCTCCAGCATTAATCTGATGATCACTGATATTGACTGCTGTTCCTATTAAACCATGTTTAATATACCATAAATCATGTCAAATTGTACAAGTCTATATATTTGGAGGAAGGTAATTTTTAAAGAATGTTAGCCTGATGTATTTATTTGCATTCTGATTTATTTACTTGCATTTTTTATGTCCTAGAATCTATTATAATCCTCTATCAGGTGATCAAACTTTATGAGATTTTAAAAATAATAGTTTCGACTTCCAGCAAATGACATACAAAATACTCTGATGAAATTGACCTTATGAACCTAAGTATTTCCCAGGGTTCCTGGACCCTAAGAAATACCCTTGAGCAAACCACAGTGGCTTACACCTGTGATCCTAACACTTTGGAAGGCCAAGGCAGGAGAATCACATGAGGCCAGGAGCTCAAGACCAGCCTGGGCAATACCTTGTCCCTACAAAAAATACAAAAATTAGCCAGGTGTGTGGTGTGTGCCTATAGACCCAGCTACCAGGGAGGCTGAGGTGGGAGGATGGATTGCGCCCAGGAGGCCGATACTGCCCTAAGACGTGATTGTGCCACTGCACTCCAGTCTAGGTGACAGAATGAGACCTTGTCTCCAAAAAACAAAATAACATACTCTTGAACTAAGAAAAATGTTCACTAAATGCACTAAGGTAAAACATTATTGAAAACAAGATACAATTCATTTTCTAATAATGCTCTTTGGAGTTGATAAGAATAGGAATCATCTGGGAAAACAATGACATGTTCAGAGCCTCAGTATCAACGCTTGTAGGTAGTATGTAGTTTGGCTCCATATAGCATGTGGCAGGCAGAGGTGACCTCTTGAGTGTGAAAACTGAGCTGCAGGGGCAGCTGCCAATTACAGTTGTGTAATCACCTTCTCTGAAGCTGGTCCACTGTCACAGAATGAAGACCCTGGTTCAGCTGCGATGTAGTTTGGCCAAGCATCTTTTTTTCCAACCCTGTGATTTCCTGATGAGCAAAACTGAAACAGTGATTCAAAACATACCGGTTGGGTTATCCGATGGGAAATAAAACTCTAAGTCCAGATTAGACAGTACCTCATGATTTTTCACTAAACGAAAAACAAATATAGTCGTGCTTTTTTACCACCTGCAGTCCTAATTGAAAGTAATGATTCTGGAGCCAGCCTGGCTGGGTTTGAATCTACCTCACTTCCTGGTTGTGTGGCTTTGAATTCATCAGTTTGCTTCCTGTGCTTTAAATTCATCAGTTTGTTTAGTTTCCTCATCCGTAGAATGGAATAATTAAGTTACCTATCCCAAAGTGGTGTTACGGAGACCAAGGGAGGTTTTGTTTGTAAAATCATAGAACAGATCCTGAAGCAGAATAAGACATACCCACTGCTCTTGCTCTTACCCTTCCAGAAGAGTTGGCCATGACTTGATTATCTCCAAGACAACAGTGACTCCTAGATGTGTCTTCAGCCCCTGCCTTTTGTGACATCATTTGCATTTTTTCAATTGCCCACCAGAGGTGGCCACTGGGTTTTCATTTTGGGTTGCGTATACCTAACCTAATTCCTTCTCTGATTCCCCCAGCTCAATGTAAATGTTCTCCTCATCTTGTGTTCTCTTAGCCAGGTCATTCTGCAGCTGTGTGCTCTAGCACCCTGGCTGCTCCTCAGACACCTTCACACATCTCTGCTCTGGGATCCTGTGCTCTTTCCCGCTGCATGTCCACAGAGCTTGCAGGCTCCCCCACCTGATAGAGATTCTGCTCCAGTCTCCACTACTCCCTGGAATACGATACCCCAGTCACACTCCACCTCATACCCTTCTTTAGATTTCTTCATAGCACTTACTATCTGGCATTATATAGTGTCTGGTTCACTTAGAGATTCTTTGTAATGAGAACAAAAAATCAAAGCTATGCAGGTATTCACTTGGCTCTTTTGATAGAATGTGGTTACTGGGTACCAGGGCTTCATATTGCAGAGAAATGATGAAAAGTTTTTATGATTTTCACATGGCCTCATTATCAGATATGTCTTGATCATTTTTGGAAGGTATTACCCACTTTACAGACAAGCTTAAGGCAGAAAACATCCAAACCCAGAACTTGGTCATCTTGGCACTTTTATTTTATTTTACTTTATTTTATTTATTTATTTATTTATTTATTTATTTATTTATTTATTTTTGAGATGGAGTCTTGCTCTGTCACGTAGGCTGAACAGTGCAGTGGCATGATCTCTGTTCACTGCAGCCTCCGCCTCCCAGGTTCAAGCCATTCTCCTGCCTCAGCCTCCCAAGTAGCTGGGATTACAGGCATGCACCACCGTGCCCGGCTAATTGTTCTATTTTTAGTAGAGACAAGGTTTTGCCATGTTGGCCAGGCTGGTCTTGAACTCCTGACCTCAAGTGATCTGCCCTCCTCAGCCTCCCAAAGGGCTGGGATTATAGGCGTGAGCCACTGCGCCCAGCCCATCTTGACACTTTTAATATTAGTCTTGAAACAGGAACAATATGTTCATTTCTGTAGAACTACGAAATGGGGACAAGGACCCAGCACCCTCCAGGGTGGAATTCCCTGAGCATTTGAAGTAGATATTTTAAGCAAGGATGAAAAATTAACATAAAGAGAACAATGAATACTCTATGAAGTAAACAGTCATCATTTGTACTTGTGGTCTTTACGGAAGGAGCTAACACCTGAGGAGGGAAAGGGCATTGCAGTTGTGGTTCTGTTTACACACCCAGCATGGGATTCTGAGTGGTGTAGTCCTTGGGGACAATGACGCTTCAGTGTGCAGGCTACTTCTCAGCTCAGACTTACTATCTAAACCTCTCTGCAGAAAGGCTGCTGGGGCACCTCCTGTGCCTGCAGGGGAGAGCTCCAGTGCTTCCCTTCCCTGCCTTGTTATCCCCTGCTGGTGCCCAGCAGATTGCAGAGGGAGCCCAGCCCTTCCAGACATCCCACTTGAACTGGGCTTAAAGCAAAAACAAAGAAGTAAGACTTAACATGTTTTGTACTAAGGGAGCTGCGTGGATACCGGTTTCCTCAGCGGCTCAGGAGGCTGCCTACCTAGCTGTCCCCACCCAGCAATAAGTGATTGGCGGCAGAAGCAAGGCGGCCAACTCAGGTGTCCCTGAGGCCTGGTGAGCAGTGCTGGTTTTGGGAAGGGGGCTGGGGGGCTGTGGCAAACCAGCAGCACCTGCCTCTCCTAGGGGGGCAGCTCCAGGCTAAACTGGCCTGTGGGCCCCAAATTCTTCAGAGAACTGGATTCCAGATGTGTGTGTTGATGTGGACACCACACACTTGTGAGCTTCTGGGAAGGAATCCTCTCATCCACCAATAGCCACCTCCATGTTTTGGAGTGCGGTCTGTAGAGTTTGGCCGCTTAGATGCTACCCTACAGAAGACTGGAGGAATGGCAACATTGTCCACAGGAGGATTAGTTGTAGTTTGAATTCACACTTACTGCAGTCCCAAGTATTTGACAAATACTTGGGGATTGAATACTATGCTATATTTTAACCAAACATATTTCTAGAAGTTAAGATACCTCACTTCCATTTTAAAGTCTTTTACTCTAATGTTTGGCTTCTGAACCCTTAATCCGGTCCATGTGTCACTTCTGAAAAGAAGCAGTCAAGCCAGGTCTCCCCTTGTTCCTTCTCTCATTCCTGGATCCTTTCTCTCATTCCCCCTTTTGCTTCCTCTCATTCTTCCTTTCCCCTTTCCTCTTCTCCCTCCTCCCTCTTCTTCCCCCTCCTCCCTCCTCTGCCCCCTATTTCTCCCCATCCCTTCTACCATCTCCTCCCTTCTCCCATCTCCTCCCTTCTCCCATCTCCTCCCTTCTCCCATTCTCTTTCCTTCCTGTCCCCCATCCCGTCTCCTTGCTCTCTCTTACCCTTCTTTCATCCCCTCCCCACACTCCCCACTCCCCACTCCCTCCCTCTCCCCACTCCTTACTCCCTCCCTCTCCTCACTGTCTACCTCTCCCCACTCCCTCCCTCTCCCCACTCCCTTCCTCTCCCCACTCCCTCCCTCTCCCCACTCCTTGCCTTCTGTAGATGTGCAGTGCTGATTGGCAGAATTCTCCCCCTCAGGCCATGCAGGGATGCTCTCATTTTGTTTTCCCCACAGCCCCTACTCCCTGCTCATTCCCTTCACAGGTTACCATTAGGATGTGTCAACCCTTTGTTTAGGTGTGTGTGTATCCTGGAAAATTAGATACTTGCATGAATTAGTTTTATAATCTACATGAATGGGATTGTGGATTCTGGTTCACTGTTTTTTTGTTTGTTTTTTCAGCCTGTACTGTCTTCAGAACTGCCTGTTTTGCTAGGTGTGCATCTTACTCCTTGCTTCTGACTGCTGCGTGGGTCCTATAACATAGATCACCCACATGTTATCTGTTCCTTCCCCTGGTAATAGCACTCTCAGCGGCCTCCCAGTCCCAGATACTTCCCATAGTGCTGCAGTGAATGCACATATCCCCTTAGGGCTTGGCGGGAGGGTTCATCTGGTTCTGTTCTGAGGCTGCAGGGCGCAAGCACACTTAACTTCATCAAGTGTGGGAGATCCTTTCTGGGATGACTGGACCCATTCATACTCCCAGGATCTGTGAATGAAGTTTCCTGTTTCCCCACGTCTCCACTTGGTGTTGACTTTCTCATTCTAATCTGATAGCTGTATCATTGTCATTTTCATTTACGTTTCTCTGATTACTGGTGAGATTGAGCTTTTCTTTATAAACTTCTTAGCCATTTGGATCCATTTCCCTTCTCTCAATTACCTGTTCACATCGTATGCACATTTTTCCATTGGGTTTCTTGTCTTTTTTGTTAATCTCTTCTATAGTCTGGATATTAATCCTCTGTTCACTGTTAGGTGTGGCACACATCTTCCAGTTTTGTCTACTGTGTCCTTTGTAGGCAGATCTGTCAGTGTGTACTCCTGGATGACTTAAATCATATTTAAGAAATTCTTCCTCATCCCAAGCTATCAAGGATATTTTCTCCAGCAGTTAATTCTGTTAGCTGCATTAGGTATATCTCATATGTAGATGTTTACGGCCCTCAGAAGGGAGGGATTTTTGTGTTTCTGTTGCTCCTGTGGCAGTAAGTTACGGATCCAGCATTTTCTCTCAATAGTAAGCTGGTTTTTATGGTACCATATCCTAAGTATTCCATCTGTTTTCCTGTAATGTGTGTTGCTACCTTTATATGTAACAAGTTGCCACATATCCATGAATCTGTTTTAGGACCCTAATTTTGTTTCTGGAATAGCAAACAGACTTGGGCATCATGGGTAAAGGCCTCCAAGAAAGCAGTGATGCAAGGACTCACTGGAGCCTCAAGTACATGGTGAATGGACTTGAGTTTCTATCTAGAATTCGAAAGCTGCAAGAAAGAGCCTTTAAATCATGCCTGCCCCATGTTGTCATTTTCACACGAAGAATCTGAAAGTTAAAGAGAGATCACAGTGCCGGTAGTCACATACCAAAGACAGACATAGGACTGTGGCCCAGGTTTCCTCTGACACAGCTAGGCACTCTCTGAATTCATTACCCTGGGCTGCTTCTTTCCTTTCACAGGTTAGAGCAGGTGATTTTTTCAGTCTCTCTACCCCTCACAATCTATTCCTGCCTATGAAAGTTTTGTGAGTTTCTCCTTACTTCTCTTTAACCTTGTTGAGGAAGCAACGCTTGTGCTCTGCAGGCCGGTTATTTAACTCCTGCATGCACATGGTTTATGTTTTCCCTTCCTCTCTCCCCGCCCCCTGACTTTGTAGCAAAAGGAAATTTATTGGCAGCAGTTTAGTCAGTGGGTGGGAGTCGAGGCAGGTGAGAGAGCAGTCTGACAGGAGTGGACTCATGATGTTTCGTATTTTAATCTGTGTCTCAAAAAATGAACCTGGGCTGGAAGCGGTGGCTCATGCTTGTAATCCCAGCACTTTGAGAGGCTGAGGCAGGAGGATGGCTTGAGCTCGGGAGTTTGAGACCAGCTTGGGCAACATAGCAAGACCTCATTGCTACTAAAAATTTTTAAAAATTAGTTGGGCATGGTGGCATGCTCCTGTAGTCCCAGCTACTTGGGGAGGGGAGAGCAGCTGCTGAGGCAGGAGGATCACTTGAGCCTGAGAGGTCAAGGCTGCATGGAACCCTGAACGTCCTACCGCACTCCAGCATGGGCGACAGAGCAAGACCATGTCTTAAAAAAAAAAATCTGCTTTTTGTTCTTTTCTAGCTACATTACATCTTTAGATGTATTACTAGAGTGTGATTTTCTGTGTGAGTATTCATCCCCGTCATTGAGTGGAACAGAAAAAATGTGAAACGATGAAGTTTTAGGAAGCCATCTAACGCTTAGTACTTCTTTTCCCATCTCCTACTACCTAAGTCGGGACAAAGCTTCTGCTTATTTTTCTGCTTCGTCTAAACACTGCTAGATTGATGAAATACACTAATGCATGGAGTAGAAACAGAGGGGCTTTAATGGAGGTCATGTCCCTAAGCAGAGCATCAGAGAGGAGAAGAGAGGAGGAGGCCTGGGTGGCATTTTGTTTGCTGTTTGGTGAGTGGGGAGATGGCAGTGAGACAGCCAGTGTGACGTTGAGAGTGTTCTCATGGGTCGTTGGCATTCTCAGCAGTGCATCAACAAAGGCCCCTTTCTTCTGGAATTCCAGAGTACAGTGTGCCCACGGGAGGCCTCATCCGGGGGCAGTTTCTGCTTGTCAAGGAACTGCAACCCTGACCTTAACCACCACCTCATTTCATGCCCGAGAGCTTGGAAGCCTAGACCCCCACTAACAAGGAGCAAAGCCCTTGGAAACGCAGCACTGCAATGAGCATTTTATTGAATTCTTTCAAAACTGGAATTACAGAACGTCCAGCAAGGCCCTTTTGGGAGAAGGGTTATAAGGTTGGAAGATAATCAGCTCAGCCTCTCCCACTCTGAGTACCATTCGGTTAGGATGTACTCTCCACCCTTTTCCATCCTGCTACCTGCCTCTGAAGTGGGAGCTGTCATTTGGAAGTGATTTGAAATACTTGGATGAGATAATAATATGTGGCATTTATTAATGGAGTGCTTTTTTACTCAGGGGCTCAGACTTTCTGGGCCTTCTAATGTGTTAATCTACATCTTCTTCCCACTGCCTGGTTTTACTTACTTTTAAAAACTTCTGTGATTAAAATAGGCAAATCGACCAAACAAAACTGTTGAACAACTTCCCTGTTCACTAGGTTAGGTCATCTAGTGATATTTAAAAGTAAAGTAGCTTCATAGAGTGGATTCTGTTGCGAGGCCTTTGTTACTGATAAGTGTTTGTCAGTTGTAGTTAAAAATGATTCATAAGAAAAAGCTTAGTTTTTCTTTGATCTGCATTCAATAAAATGTGTCTCATAGACTGAGAAATTTTTCTTCCTCCCAACATAGCCCACCAGTTCTAGAGGAAGGCTATTGTCAGTCACAAAGAGGATTTATGTTTCTTTTTTTTTCCCTAATGGGTAACTGTTGTTGCTTATGGATTGGAGAGGATTCTAAATGCTTGTCTGTCTGATATGAAGGCAGTCTCTCTTTTCACATAGGCAACGTGCCCTATGTCGTACAGGTTAGAGATGAAATACGATTGAAATCATGTGGATGCATCTTCCTGTGCTATGTCTTTCCTACAGGCAGAGTGCCCCAAGTTCACGTTGGATACGCCGAAACTCAGCGTGTTTCCACAGGCAATTTAAGAACAAATCAATACCTCAGACAGTAATACGTCTTAGAAAGAGATTTCTCATATAAGCAATGGAAGTTTTATCTTTTGAATTTGGTTGACTTATAATAATCAAATGTTTGGAGGAGGAGAGACCTATTCTTTTGACAGTCAGTGCAACCTGTATGCTCGGCCTGGTTTTTGTAAGGAAAACAGGCTACATATGTGATGGATAACTCAGAGTAGCTTTTAAAATCTACTTACTGGCTTATTTCTGGTCTCCAGTTTTGGCTTTCAAGGAGACCTCTTAGATATTTGTACCTTTACATATACATGGAATAGTACAGCAGAACTTTCTCAATGGCCTGTGTCTAGGCAGACCCTGAGCTGATGCTCTTGCATGTGCCACATTTTACTGGGTGCGAATGTCTTTCAGCAAAGTCCTGCTTTATAGGCTCTTGCATATTATTCTTCATCTCCACCTTGGGAATAATGAGCTTTTTCCTTTCTTTGAGATGTATCTCAGGAGGTAGAAAGCACCATCAAGATCGCATTCGCTAGGGACACATGAAGAATTTGAGATGATGTGTTATGCAGTACGGGAAAGGGAGTCAGAAACTGCAGGAGTTAGAGAAAGACGAGGACATGTTGACATTCCTAGTGACGTATATGTACACACATACACAGTACACACGTGTGTGTCACCTCTCATTACACATGCACATTCACATGAGAGGGACTAGAACCGTTGGCCAGGCTCGGAGTGGTGCTTCAGCTTTCCAACTGGTTACCAGTTGTTTTCTGATAGCAAAGGAAGAAGTAGATGTGGTGGATAGCGAAAGATGTCTTGATGTTTAGGAGAAGAAATTCAAGTGGCAATAAAATGTAAACAACGATATTTATGGGAAAAGCAATAGTAATGATCAATTTTAATGCAAGCATCTGTGAGACCAGAAGTTGGGGCAACACAAATGATTTATAGACAAAGGTATGGCAAGTGCAAACTAATTTGTGAAGGGAGCTATCTTTGAAACGGAACCATGAGTAAACGCAGTGCATTTCCACATGCGTAGCCCATATCCGAAGCTTGTGTCCTGACTGAGTCATGAGTAAACGCATTGCATTTCCACATGCGTAGCCCATGTCTGAAGCTTGTGTCCTGACTGAGTCATGAGTAAACACAGTGCATTTCCACATGCGTAGCCTATATCTGAAGCTTGTGTCCTGACTGAGTCGTGAGTAAACGCAATGCATTTCCACACGTGTAGCCCATATCCGAAGCTTGTGTCCTGACTTCAGCAACACTGGGTCTTACTACCAGTATTGGGAAAGCCAATGAACAGGGAAACACAATTTTTAGTTACTGAGTGAATCAATATCTTCTTACTTTAAAATATAGATGGCTTTCACTTGCATTCTAACCTGGATAGTGATTCTTGCCAAGGTAATATATAAGCACTTTGTCATGTTTCCAAAAGGAAAATCAAGATTGTGTTTTATTCACTGTTAAATTGGCATTTTTAGGTGTTTTAAATTCACCGAGGATAGCATCATCAGCATCATCATTGCTATTAATGTAATTATTACCACCACTAGATGGTGCATGGGGAATTGGGGGCACCGAATGTTATAGGAGGCGTTCTCCTCTATGCTATCACTAATTGGTTGTTAAGGGAATATAGAAACATATCAGAGGGTGGAGGAAAAGGGACGATAAAATATGATGGACTTTTCTCACTAATTAAAGCTATGCTGGAGATACAGTGGTGGAAATAGGTCTGGCTGGAGAGAAGGTCTTCTATGTTTGCCCCTTTAAATATACGTGGGATACTAAAATAGAATTTTATAAATGCTCTGTATCAGAAGCAAGTATTCCTTAAATTGGAGAAGGCCTCTGGTGTTCTGGTGGGGCTAGGTTCTTGAGAATCCCTTATTAAATACGACAGTCCACCTCGACCTGGGTTCCCAGCGGGTCTGCCTGTATGGATTTGCATGAGCTGGGGTCCTGCCTAGTCTCCTCTGTGCAGCCAGCCTAGGAACACAAGAAACAAAAGCAAGGTTCTTGATTTGACAGGTGTCATTTTCGAGGACCATCACATCTTGATTTTTTCTTTCTTCTGTTCATTTTGATAGACTTCAGGGAGCCTCTGCTGTCAGAAAATGTGCTGGCTCCTGGCTTCATATATGATTTGTGTCTAGCTTCCTGTAGACTAAAAATATCAGCAGAAGGAATTATAGATGGTTCAATTAAAGTAGTAATTGGGCAAAAACGGCTCATAACAAATCCAATTCTGGGAAATGCTTCTGTGCTTTGATTATTATGTTCCTCCCTATTTCTCCCTCTGCTTACTTTTTTAAAGTTTGATATAATAGCTCATTTGAGGGTTTCCTAGTTCTTGTTGGTCTCTCTCATTTTAATACCTAGCAAAGGGCCAGGTGCTCAGAACATGCTGAGAGTAAAAACAATGAAATGAGTAATGATCAAAAAGACTTTAAGAAATGTTTTGAACATAGAAATAATAATTTCTTAATATCCACAAGCATAATAGGTCAATAGTATTTATGTAAAATGCCAGTACACAACAAATGTGAAGGAGTATTAATGAATGAAACTGCTGTAGCAGTAAATACATAACATATCAAAGAAAATGTGACAGTTCTAGATGCTGTGTCATATCTTTTTATAACACCAAATAAGGATTTGTCACAAGCCACTTAATGACTCTTTAAAAGTTGCTAATGTTCTTACTTACACTCTCGTCGAGTCATAAATCAAAAAAGGACTTGAAATTAAGACCCATGGTTGGAATATCAATGCAGTCAAATATCTGTTCTTTGTATGAGGTTGAGTGAGTGGATGATGATGGTGAATTTGAGAATGAAAGGGTTCTAATAAGTGATTGTTGAGTGGCAATGGGTTGGCCACAGCACTTTAGTTCTTTTGACTTGAGAAATTGAAATGTATCCTAACATATTAAACTTCACAAAGATGTTTATACTCTGAAAAGATCAATACCTCTTTTTCTACACCCACTACAGAAGATGCGATCATTTATTATACGATTTTGAGTTCTGATCAACCAAAACATACAACTAAAACATCACAATTGTGTTTTCTTTTTTAAAGGTCATCAATTCAGTAGATAGCTGATTTTCTGTATGTAATTCTGTCCCTTTAGTATCCCCACTGGCTTCCCAACATGTAGTATATGTACCTTCTGGCACACAGTAGGGCCTCAATAAACATTTTTGCAAGGATGAATTCAAATTGAATTTGAAGAATAAATACCGGAAGAATAAAATTGGCCCCACATAAATGTGTGGGGATCTACTTGTTGCAAATGGTCCAGGATGCAGATTAATATGCAGTAGGCACGTGAATATCTGGAGGTCAGCAAGGTACAGTAGTGAGATGTACACATCTACACAAATTGATTTTTTCAACTTCGTTTGATTGGTAACACTGATTCAAATGTAGTCATAAGACTCACAGTAATAGCTTAAGAGATAAAAAGGGATGTGTGTTTTCACTAGCATTTTATATCTGGCCCAGCAGCTGCAAAGAACCTGATGCTACAGGCGTTTAACATACTTTTCTTGGATTGTTGAAAAGGGGAAAGGAAGAACAGGGGTCATTAGGAATTCTTGCCCTTTCTTGTAGGGAAAAGAAAGGGCTTGCTTGTAGTAGGAGGGAGTTGTATTTGTGAGTCATAGGGATCCATTATCCATATCTGCTGAAGGGCTGTCAGATATGAAGTAAATTTAGAGACCTACTTGTCCCTTTAGCTATTCATCACTGTTGATTGGCGCCAGTGGCAGGCAGCAGTATTTTTAGAGAAGCGAATGATATGGAATTTCTTCAAGTACAGAACATTGGCTGATCCCATTACTCAAAGCTACTCAAAAAGTCACAGCTGACACTTGACAGAACTACAGAGGAAAAACAATAGACCTAAGAAGCAAAATACTGAAATGCATGATGAAAACATAGGGAGATTCAAGTTACTCATCACCACTGCTAATCCAGTTTGGTGCTGCTGGTTGTCAGTGGTATTAAAAATATAATTTTCACAGGAATCGATTTTATGCATGTCTCTTTGCCCTATCATAGAGTGAAAAATAGGCTGATTTTTCACATCTTGTACCACCTTCCTTTGTAATATATCTGACATTTATGCTTTGACAATTGGTATGTGAAGAAGACACATGAAGGACCTTTTTCCCTGTAGCAGCCAGCATGGTGCTGTATCTTGGTTTCCAAATGATAAATGCAGGAAAATAGCAAACAGTTTTAAAAATGGCCTTAATCCTGTGGGACAGTATTCGTAATTTCTCGATAAAATCCTTTTAATTTAATACTCTAAATTAATGTTTTGAATTGCTTCTCTGCAAGAATGCTAGATCGTAGAAATGTACAAACCATCCTTCAGAAGAGTAAAAGACTAAGCCATCTACAGTTGTAACTGTCAGTGAATGGCCAAGACTTAACTGCAGTGGAGCCTTTTCAGCAGTCTGTTATTAGACTTAATTTTTAAAACCTAATCACCAGAGATGCCTGAGTCTGTTGACTTAGTTTGACAAGAAATCTGTGCATGTTTACAAACTTAACATGGTCAAGAAGCCTGTGCATGTTCACACACTTACATGTAGGAGAAGTCTGTGTGTTCACTAATTTACACGTATGAGAAGTGAGCATGTGTTCACTAACATACATGTGAGGCCTGGAGTCTAACCAGAAACTGATCAGCAAGGCTTCAGGTCTCAGGTCTTGAGCGCTAGTGCCACAGCTGGGTGTGCTGATAACTTGGCAAAATCAGTTGGTGGTTTTCGAGCTGTGGAGAGAAGAGTGCCTGGTGAGTTCAGCGAAGTTGGTTGGATGTCCAGTGGTGGTCCCTTCACTTGTTAAATTCAGTGAAGAAAGAGACCCTGTGCTCCTTTTGATGACATGGCCAAGAAAATTATCAGAATTTGTCAAAAGAAACTTTGAACAAAGGTATTAGGTAGCGTCTATTAAAAATTCATCAGTAAGTTGTTTATGTCAGTCGGAGAAGTACACTGAACATCATAGTAGAATAATTTATTCATTCGTTAACCAACACTTACACAACACCTAAACTATGGTAGATACTATTTTGAACGGCTTACAGATACTATTATATTTAATCCACATGACAGTCATATGATTTAAGTGGTATGATCACCCTCTTTTTAGCGATAAGGAAACTTGGGCACAGTTAAGTCATGTGCCCAGGATCACACAGCTGGTAATGGCAGAACTTTCACGTGAACCTGAGCGGTCTGGCTTCAGAATCCACACTCAAGCCACTATGCTGTGCTGCTTCTGAGTAATACAAGGCAATGATTTGTAA
The DNA here is from genome assembly GCF_000001405.40 of Homo sapiens. Classification (NCBI taxonomy): domain Eukaryota; kingdom Metazoa; phylum Chordata; class Mammalia; order Primates; family Hominidae; genus Homo; species Homo sapiens. Next base: position 11,117,135 of record NC_000010.11, read on the forward strand.
ATCACAGTGACAACCAGTGATAACCTATTTTATTCCTTTATATCATCCCGCTCTACTCACATCTTTTAGGCTCATTAAAGGATTTAGTTGAATGCCAAATGTGTGGACTTAGAAGAACTGGCTTTGAATTCCGACATTTACTGGCTGTGTGGCTTTGGAATAGTCACCTTTCTGAGTTGCTTTCTTCATTCAACGGGTGTAACAATATAAATCCTGCTGATTTCACAAAAGTCAAAATGTTTTGCCCTGTAGAAATTGGTTAGGTATCATTCGAAAAAGCCAGTGGCTCTCCAGGAATGAAGATGCTCAAGGAGGCCTTGCTGTCTACCTGTGCTACCAGCTTTCCTGTGCTCTGCAGCAGCTCTAGAGGCCACTCCTTTAGACCTAGGTCCATCTTGAGGTGTTGTTATACAGCCTCTTAGGGGTTTTTATGTCTGACTCCATAATATTTATGATAAAAACAAAAACCACGTGTGTGATGGTATCATGACATGAATATGATCCTTGCTGACATTAAAATGGAGCAGTGGTCTCCATTCCAGGTGATGAATGACAAAATCACCCAAGTATTTTTAAAATGTGTGACTCTCCAGAGAGGGTACCCTTGAGTGGCTCTTCCACTGACCCCGGAACTTCCAAAGCATCAGGCTTGGGTCAAATAGGATTCATCTGAGCTTCTGGTTCTGATCTTGTAAAAGCTAACTCATGCATGCACAACATGATAGGCCATGTCACTCCTCACAGCCTTTTTCTGCGCTATCCTTTTATACATTTTTTATAAGGCAGAATGCTTTGAATGCATTCTGCCTCAAAAGGCATTTTGCTCTAATGGCTGTGTGGAAATGTTCATTCTCTGCTTCTATGTTTTTAAAAAACAAAAGGGTAATCAGAAGCATTTAATTGTCTTAGATGCTCAACAAATAGTAATTAAAAGCTATTTTTTTTTTAGTTTTGCAGAAGTATAAGCATGCCTGTGAATTAAATAAGGCCATGTGTCAAGACTGATTTGCACAGTGAAGGTAATATATTTTAGTAGCGCCAACTGAGGGCTCATTGCCCAATTGCATGATAAGCAAACCCCATTTGAATGGGTGTTTATTCTTCATCCTGGTTCTCGGTAGTCTGAACCCAAGGCTTGGTGTACTGTTTTCAATAGGTCACCTCCACTTGATCTTTGTTTTCCTCTTAAGTGGCATGCTGAAAAACCACATTCATCTATGGGGAGTCTTTTTGTGTTGCCCAGGCTGGTCTTGAACTCCTGGCCTCAAGTGATCCTCAGGCCTCAGCCTCCCAAAGTGCTGGGATTACAAGTGTGAGCCCCCATGTGCCTTGCCCCCAAAGCTTTGAGTAACAATGCTCAAAGATACGTCACTTCTGTTAAAAGATTAGTATATTCAGTAAGTAGTTCCTAATGTCTCCATTTTGTAGAGAGAAGAACTGAGGCATGGTGACTTCAGATTTTTGCGTAAGGTCATAGCTAGTCAGTAGAAAAGCTGAAGTTACTGACTTTGGGGTTCTTGGCCTTGGATTTTCCTCACCAGTTCAACAGCTTCTTATTTGTATGTTGAAGAGAAATGTTAAAGCAAATAAATGTCTTAGCTCATCCTGTACAAGGATGAGAAAATCAAAAGCCTGTAGTGTTATTTTACAGCTCAGGAGTCACTTCTCTTGTCCTTGAATCATTTGAGCAGGAGACAAGGAGGTCAGCAACCCCCAGTTCTATTTTGGTCCTGACCGATGACTGCTTGTATGACCTTTCGCAAGTCACTTAACTCCTGTGTCACTCTCTGTGAAATGAGGATGGAGGAGCCCTGCTCCCCTGCCAGTCTCCGATGGTGACTTCATCAGGAAAGGTGAGCCAGAGATGCTCAGACAGAATGGCCTGCTTATGGCACTTTCTCAAGCCGCCATCCAGTTGACCAGCTACATGAACAAGGCTGAAACTAGATCAGGACTGATGAGTCTTCACCAAGAAGATGCACCAGAAAAGCAGTGCCACCATGTCACCTTCTGTGTCCCTGTAGTAACGAAGGCAGGAGGGTCTGAAGGCACATTTTTTTTCCCCTTAAACTTTAGACTTCTTGCATAAACTTGAGCATATTTAAGAGAGCTTGATAAAATAGAGCAATAAATTCAGTTGTTGAAATTCAGTAGATAGGCGTCCTGAAAGTCAGATGTTACTTTGGTAACAATCCTGTGTCCTAAGGACAGTAGATGTTCACTATCCAATACCTCCGAAGAAGCTGGGGAGTGCCCTGGGATTCAGGATAGCAGACCTCATTTCTTTCATAGCACTTTAAACAAGATTTTAAACAGAAAAATAATGTCTTATAGCAATCAGATTTATGGTTTTCTCTAGCATAGGCTTACCCATTAATAACTTATTTAATCAATTCCAGAATAAATGTGTCATTCAGAAATGTCATGTTTGTACTATAAATCTTTAGTTCCTTTTTACCAACAAATTAACTATTTTTAATATTTAAACTTTCATAAATTATTTTAAAAATCAAAAACCCTAGGAAAAAAATGAGTGAGGGATACAAACATACAAATAGACTTTTCACAGAGAAAGAAATACAAGTCGTAAATGTACACATGAAAAAGCCTTTATCCTCCTCCCCCTATAATGATCAAGGGAGTGGAATACCACAGTGATCAAGAGGATGCATATATCTGGATTCAAATCCTAAGGGCACTGTTTATTTGCCTGGCTGCTTGATTCCGCCTCCCCCCCCCCGGCCCCCGCTTTTTTGTTTATTGACATATTATTTGCATATAATAGAATTCATCGTTTCATAGGTACACTTTGAATTTTGATAATCACATATAATTGTGCAACTTCCGCCACAACCCATTTAGTTATTTGTTTATGCTTCCATTTCCCAGCTGTTAATTTTCCTGACATAAGCAGAATTTGGTCCTATCACTGCTAATTCTCCAGGTGAAAGGAGAGGTTCATTTGAGTCAGCAAGCATCCTTTGAGCATGTCGTGTGTGTCAAGCACCTTCGCCAGGTGTCAGGGGATACTGTCTTCAGAGTTCATATACTATAAGGATAGGCATTTGCTCACAGATGTATGCATATTTAGCTCTTAATTTACACATCGGTGCAGAAAAGGAGACCCTACTTAATAGTCCCAAGGAGCAAATATTCCCCAAATAGTTAGTAGCAAGTAGCAAAACTGTGCCATTCCCTGTGCTCCTTCCCCCTAGAAGCAAACAGAAAAGCTTTGCTGGGTTTTGCTCCTTAGTTTTTAATGTTCTAACAGGTTTGCATTTCACCTGTTTCTATGATTGTTGAATAACAGAAAATGAACCAAGAGAGCATAAGATTTCAAGCTTGCTTCTTGTTATTTAGAGACATGCCAACAACCCACACCATCTATGCAGTTGAAATTTCTGCATCTCCAAAGACCCTTTCCCCTCCCCACCAGAAGTACCAGCTGCCACTCAGGGAGAGCACTCTTGCCCTTCAGAAATCCCAAGGAGAATCTAGGACAACTGCATTCAACTGTGAAACCCTGAAAGAGCCTTTGCTGTTACCTTTGCTGCATCTAGGGAGTGCTTAATTTCTCCTCCAGCTTCCCCACCCCTCACCAGCCCTTGCAACCCATCCATGCTGTGGCTGGTTTGGGCCCTTGATTTCATAGATTACTACCTGAAAGCAGAAAAGGACCATAGTGAGACTTACGGCAGCACTACAGTTAGCGCTGAGGCTCTTACAAATACTTTGTGAGTGCTCCTGCCTGAAGCTTGGAGTCCTTGAAGTGCAGAATTACTGCAGGTGCAGCAGCTCAAATCAACAGCTTTTAAGCGCGTCCATTTGCAGACGTGCCAAGAGCTTGCAAGGAGGTGTGTAGCCTGTAAATGAGCTCAGTGTCTACAGTTTCCATTATTTAGACCCCAAGGCATGTTCCTGTCGTGGACAGAAATCACCACCTTAGACCCATATCTTGCCCGAGAAGTTTATAAGTCTACACAATTGGACTTTTCAACTACATACTATTTTGCAAATTCAGAAATAATAAAATTCCCACCAATTTCCAGGCATAGAAAACCAATTTCTTCCTTGATGGGTCCAATTACATGGTTGATACAAAATTTTAAGACCTATCTTAGTGTTTTCAGAGGCTAGCCAGTCTCTGTGGGCTTGTGAATAAATAGCACACATAAGATGCTGGAGTCTTTGTAGGTCTGGACTGTTTGCTTGAAAGAAATTAGGCAAATTCTTCTGATGCCAAACCATTAAGCAGCATTTTCTGTTTTGCAGTACCCTTTGTTTTTGCCTTCATTCCTCTCTCCCTCTGTCCTTGCTGTCCCTCCCTTCTTTCTTCTTTGGTTTCTTCTCATCTTCCCTTAACAATTATTTGAGGCCCTACTATGTGGTTGGTACCATGTTGTGCTGGGGATACAGTGATGAACAGAAACAAATGGTTCATGCACTTCAGGTGCTCCTGGTCAAATAGCGACGCAGACGTTAGTGAAACACAAAAATAAATATAAGTTAATATTCTGGTTAGTGCAATGAAGTAAGCTTGCCTAGTGCTAAGAGGCTAGTATTTTTTTTGTTTTTTTTACTGTCTTTGACTTTGATTTGTGGAAAAAAATGCTTTTGCTGTGTCTGTTTCTTAATGAAGGATGCCCCATAGTGTTTCTTGCAGAAACTGTCTTTCCGGAGGTCTTAATTCTGAATACACGGAGCCCAGCATGCTCAAAGAAATGCTCTGATGACAGGGGAGAGTAGAGACGATGTACATTTAACTGAGGAAATGTACTCCTCAAGAAAGGGCTCAGTGCAGACTGATGAGGGGCTTTATTTTGTCCATGTGTGCCAGATAACCGCATAGCCCAGCATGATGGCAGATTATGAGTTCATCTTAAAGAATCTGGAACGCTCCACACCCAGGTGAGGTACACTATATAATTGAGGCATCTCTGGCAAATCTTGGTTTCTATCCTGGCTTCCATTGTGTTTTTAAGAAGCTGTTGAATGGAACATTCTTTTTTCAATGCATAGCACTATTCGTTATTTGGAACAGTGTTTTTTTGAAAATGGATCTCTGCAGCAAGGCCTCAGCTGTATCCCTGGATCCTTTCTTAATATGACAGCCTGTCATCCCCCAAACTATACAGAACAGCCTTGCTTTGCAACCTCATGCACTTTTTAAAAATTTGCAATAATGATGGCAACCATTAAAATGATAGAAACCACTTACTAATCAGTTTAGTAACCAAGGACATCTGCTTTACATAATACAGAGACATATTAAAAAGGCTTTTATGTTGTTCAGAAATTGTCAAAGTTAAAAAACCTAGTGGTAAAATCAGTTGATTCTTTGTGCTGCTTTTCAAACAGCTTTACCCTTCAAACAGTGACTGTAGAAAGCCACCTATTTGTGTTGATTCAAAATGTCTTGAGGAAGTAAGCCCTTCATAGAGCGTATTCCAGAAGGCTTCCTCACTTGATAAACGGTTATTAGGATTTGAGTTCCTTTCCCCCTCCTTTTAGATTTGTTCCTTTAACACTATGAGAAACAGGCCTCTTACAACAAGCAGTCGTGAAAGAAATTCTCATGCATAACTTTAAAGTTTTATTGATGCATATCAAGTATTTAAATTATAGCCAAGCTCAATTTTTCTCATCAGGAAACTTACCTTCTTGGACAGAAACCTAGGAAATTATTTTCAAGTTTGCAATTGCTGTTGTGGAGATGAACAGCAGAACTGTGGGAGTATGTGTCGGGCACCTGGTCTACCATAGAGTGGGGCCAGGGCTTGAGGGAAGCTCCCTGGAGGAGGCAGGAGAGCATCTCTCCGAAGGGCTAGTCATGCAGCTGCAGGATCTGGGAGTACGGTTTATAGTTTGGAATATAAGTTCCCGAAAGTAGCAAAAAGAAGAAAAATAAGGGCAAATACATTGTACATCCATAGTTTTCCAGTTCCTCCCGGTCCTCAGTCTCCCAGCTCTCCAGTTGTGTGTCTGGAGTAAAATCCTAGATGTTATGGGAGGAGGCACTTTTTACAGCCATGAAGATTTGTGATCTCTAAAGTCCTTGCTTACAAGCACACTGTTTGGAGGTCCCAATTCTGAGTCAGGGTTTGTTTTTTGTTTGATTTTTAAATTTTTTTTTAGAGACAGAAGCTTACTCTGTCACCCAGGCTGGAATACCATGACACAATCCTAGCTCACTGCAGCCTCAAACTTCTGGACTCAAGAGATCCTCCTGCCTCAGCCCCCTGAGTTGCTGAGACTACAGGCACACGCCACCATCCCTGGCTAATTATTTTATTTTTTGTAGAGACAGGGTCTGGCTATGTTCCCCAGCTGGTCTCAAACTCCTGGGCTCAAGAGACCCTCCCACCTCAGCCTCCCAAAGTGCTGAGATTATAGGTGTGAGCCACCATGCCCGGCTGAGGCAAGGTTTTGATAGGTGGTGAGGGTTAAGAGTTGGGTGATAATCCTCTGTGATGTTAGTGAGTCTCTGGGGCTGAACACCATGTTGGGACAATTCCTTTGCATGAGACATTTGCTCTTTGCAGAAAAGAGCCTGCTACCCCCATCCTGCTGCGCAGTGGCCATTACTTCTCTAGTGATGAGCACATTAACAGAGCACAATCCAGTAAAGTCCTTCTAAGATGAAAAACAAGGAAAAAAATATTAAGCTAATATGTACAGTAACATGAAGACCTGTACCTTTTGTTTTTCTTACAGTCTCTTCTTTCTTATGTCCCTGTCTCTCTGTATTGGTCAGTTCTCATGCTGCTAATAAAGACATACCCAAGACTGGGTAATTTATAAAGAAAAAGAGGTTTAACTCACAGTTCCACATGGCTGGGGAGGCCTCACAATCAAGGCTGAAAGTGAATGAGGAGCAAAGTCACGTCTTACATGGTGGCAGGCAGGAGAGCTTGTGCAGGGGAATTCCCGTGTATAAAACCATCAGATCTCATGAGACTTATTCACTATCATGAGAACAGTATGGGAGAACTGCCCCATGATTCATTTATTGCCATCTGGTGCTGCCCTTGACACATGGGGATCATTACAATTCAAGGTGAGATTTGGGTGGGGACACAGCCAAATCATATCACTCTCCCTCTGTCTCTCTTGATAATGAAAGATTAGAGATGTGTGTATACATACATACCTACACACTCAATGTAGTCGCTCTTATTATTCTTATATGACCTTCCTATGAAATGAGATGGGTTCCACCTGTTCATGAGCCTTTTTTGAGGAAAGGACAATATCACTTAGATTCTTAATTCCTAATAAAGATGGAAATGGGATGGGATAAAGGTTGCTCCATTGAAAATAAATTGCATTACAAAGATGAATGTAATAAACTTGATGTTTTTTAGATCTAAAACAGACTGATTCAGCTTTTTAAAATGTAACATGAAATGGCAATGTTTTAAATTTTCCAAAAATTGGAGATCATTTGTGTCAGGTGAATGGGAAGTTCAGTAAGGCATTATCAGTCTGTTATTCAAGCATCTGTCCCACATGCATCTGTTGAGTACCTACCATGTGCCAGGCACTGCAATAAGTTCTAAGCGTACAAGGTACACACAGCATTCATGGTGCCTGATCCCATGGAGCTTACAGTCTATTATACGTGAAATTTCCAAAGTTGCTGAAAAGATTGAAAATACCTTTGGTACATATTCATAAATTCTTCTGATACTTTCTATGGCTTATGGATAGCATATTTCACTTTGATTCACATATGCTTATATATATTTTTTATAAAGCATGAGATTTTCTTCTTACAGACCAGGATGGGGGAGAAAAAATGTTGGTTGAAGTTTTCTTTCCTGGAACAACAGGTAGATTACAAACAGGCATAAGGCAAAATTTGTCCCCATATTGTGTGATATTGTTTTACTCATTACTTCAGTCTACGTGACTTCCTTTCTAATGGGAACCACTTAGCTGGACCATTAAGTATGATGGTTTCAGGTTCAACAGGCTCTCTTTTGAAATTGACCCAGTCAGTGGTTAGAAATGGCCAAGAACTTACACAGATGTAGTGTGAGGACCTCTGGGCCCAGCTGAGTGCAGATCATTAAACAGCAGGGGCCATACAAACCAAACTCTCCAGCGGTCTTACACCCAGGGCTCAGGGAGTGAAAGAATAGTCAGTTCTCTTGTTGGCTGTTAATTTGGATGTAAATCTAAACTTTTGAGAGCTAGGAATCGGGATTTTTCAGTGTCCTTTGTTATTTGTAATGTGGCCATAGGGTGAAAGCCCTTGGGTATGCTCCATTGATAAAGAGAGGCAGGTTTAGGGTAGTAACTGGATAAAAAAAAAAAATGAGAGTTTCACACAAGCAACCAGTGGCTCAGAGAGGAGAGCTCAACCGTAACAACTAAATTTTGAAAATACTTCTCTCTTGAGGGGATTAAGTCTCTCAATTCACTCCCTTTTTTAAAATAAACCAATGATGTGTTATAACATGCTGTCTTCATTTTAATTCACTCCAAAATGGCGCAGTGGTCCAGGGTTTATGCTGTTAGAGCGGTGATGGTAGCGTTTTGCCACACTGCTGTCACCTCTCGGTTTTGCTATCCTGTCCACTTACTTTGTCACTACAGCCTTAAATCCCTACTGCCCCCATTAAAGTGTCTACTTGTCTCCTAAAACTCATTTATACTGTTTGTTTTTGATGTCTTCCTTGGCAACTTAATTTATATGTCTGCTGTTTTTCAAACGGAGTAATACTCTGCGCTTACTCTAAATTTTGTGTTATTAAAATCACAGCTTTTGGGTTTGTGTGGCTTCCACCAATGTAAACAATTCGTCTCATTTTCCTGTCAACACACGCTTATAATTTTTAGTGTATTTCCTCAAATTGTCTTCCCATCACTCAGAATAAGGTCTTTCTGTTCACTTGACGTAAAATACTACATCCTGCAGCTATGCTGGCTTGAGCTGCTTTACACCTCCTTTGAGTAGTCAAGATACGCTGTCTGGAAGACAATGACCAAGTAAGGATGAGTTCATTTACGATGATTAATGTTTTCCTAAGTTTCCAGTTCTCTGTGTTTTTATTTTTAATTTTCTGCCTTTCACAGCATTTTCAGCAATAACCAAGGAATCCTGAATCCTTTCAGAACCATTTTTCGCCTCTGTATCTGCTAACCATTTCTTGCCTTTTCTCTCACATGTCTACTCACATTTCAGGGTGTCAAAAATGGACCAGTATACCTACAAAAGTAGAAACACAACCCTTGCAAGGTGGACTATAGTATTAAGCAAACTAGGAAGAAGAGAGGGGTTTGACAACTCACTAGACGTTTTCAAGATGGCATTCGTCATACATACAAGTATAGATACATATATATGTGTGTATTTACAGTTACATCAGAATACAGGGATTATATTTTCAATAATTCCCTAAAAATGCAGACATTGTTGATGTATATAAAAATTGCCTTTCCCGTGGTTCACTCTGGCTGCAGCTACTTAATATGCAGAGCTGTGTCCAAATCAGTGCTGTCAATATACAAAACACAATGTATTCGAGAATATAGAATAAAACAGTCATATCTGTGAATACAGAGTAAGTCTTTGACATTTCATAAGTTTCATAATATATACATTTCTGGTAGTTAGCATTTTATATTTCCTACTCCCTTGTAATAATTGGAGCATTTGCCTTCATGGTTTATTACATGCCCCTGGGGATATAGTTGCTCTTCAGCCATCTGTGGTCATTCATACTTTTTTTTTTAAGTTCATTTTCAGCCTCTTTATTGTCTTTTTTTTTTAATACTTTAAGTTCTAGGGTACATGTGCACAATGTGCAGGTTTGTTACATAGGTATAGATGTGCCATGTTCGTTTGCTGCACCCATACACTCATCATCTATATTAGGTATTTCTCCTAATGCTATCTGTCTGCCAGCCCCCCGCCTCATGACACGCCCCACTATGTGATGTTCCCTGCCCTGTACATGTGTTCTCATTGTTCAGTTCCCACCTATGAGTGAGAACATGTGGTGTTTGGTTTTCTGTCCTTATGATAGTTTGCTCAGAATGATGGTTTCCGACTGCATTCATGTCCCTGTAAAGGACATGAACTCATCCTTTTTATGGCTGCATAGTATTCCATGGTGTATATGTGCCATATTTTATTAATCCAGTCTATCATTGATGGAGATTTGGGTTGGTTCCAAGTTTTTGCTATTGTGAATAGTGCCCCAGTAAACATACGTGTGCATGTGTCTTCATACTAGCATGATTTATAATCCTTTGGGTTTATACCCAGTAATGGGATCACTGAGTCAAATGGTATTTCTAGTTCTAGATCCTTGAGGAATCACCACACTGTCTTCCACAATGGTTGAACTAATTTACACTCCTGCCAATAGTGTAAAAGTGTTCCTATTTCTCCACATCCTCTGCAGCATCTGTTGTTTCCTGACTTTTTAATGATTGCCATTCTAGCTGGTGTGAGATGGTATCTCATTGTGGTTTTGATTTGCATTTCTCTGATGACCAGTGATGATGAGTATTTTTTCATGTGTCTTTTGGCTGCATACATGTCTTCTTTTGAGAATTGTCTGTTCATATCCTTTGCCCACTTTTTGGTGGGGTTTTTTCTTGTAAATTTGTTTATTTCTAGATTCTGGATATTAGCCCTTTGTCAGATGAGTAGATTGTAACAATTTTCTCCCATTCTGTAGGTTGTCTGTTCACTCTGATGGTAGTTTCTTTTGCCATGCAGAAGCTCCTTAGTTTAATTAGATCCCATTTGTCAATTTTGGCTTCTGTTGCCATTGCTTTTGGTGTTTTAGACATGAAGTCCTTGCCCATGCCTATATCCTGAATGTATTGCCTGGGTTTTCTTCTAGGGTTTTTATGGTTTTGGGTCTTACATTTAAGTCTTTAATCCATCTTGAATTAATTTTTGTATAAGTTGTAAGGATGGGATCCAGTTTCAGCTTTCTACATATGGCTAGCCAGTTTTCCCAGCACCATTTATTAAATAGGAAATCCCTTCCCCATTGCTTGTTTTTGTCAGGTTTGTCAAAGATCAGATGATTGTAGATGTGTGGTGTGATTTCTGAGGGCTCTGTTCTGTTCCATTGGTCTATATCTCTGTTTTGGTACCAGTACCATGCTGTTTTGATTACTGTAGCCTTGTAGTATAGTTTGAAGTCAGGTAGTGTGATGCCTCCAGCTTTGTTCTTCTGGCTTAGGATTGTCTTGGCAATGTGGGCTCTTTTTTGGTTCCATATGAACTTTTAATTTTTTCCAATTCTGTGAAGAAAGTCATTGGTAGCTTGATGGGGATGGCATTCAATCTATAAATTACCTTGGGCAGTATGGCCATTTTCACGATATTGATTCTTCCTATCCATGAGCATGGAATGTTCTTCCATTTGTTTGTGTCCTCTTTTATTTCATTGAGTGGTTGTTTGTAGTTCTCCTTGAAGAGGTCCTTCACATCCCTTGTAATTTGGATTCTTAGGTATTTTATTCTCTTTGAAGCAATTGTGAATGGGAGTTCACTCATGATTTGGCTCTCTGTTTGTCTGTTATTGGTGTATAGGAATGCTTGTGATTTTTGCACATGGATTTTGTATCCCGAGACTTTGCTGAAGTTGCTTATCAGCTTAAGGAGACTTTGGGCTGAGATGATGGGGTGTTCTAGATATACAATCATGTCGTCTGCAAACAGGGACAATTTGACTTCCTCCTTTCCTAATTGAATACCCTTTATTGCTTTCTCTTGACTGATTGCCCTGGCCAGAACTTCCAACACTATGTTGAACAGGAGTGGTGAGAGAGGGCATCCCTGTCTTGTGCCAGTTTTCAAAGGGAATGCTTCCAATTTTTGCCCATTCAGTATGATATTGGCTGTGGGTTTGTCATAAATAGCTCTTATTATTTTGAGATGTGTTCCATCAATACCTAGTGTATTGAGAGTTTTTAGCATGGAGGGCTGTTGAATTTTGTCAAAGGCCTATTCTGCATCTATTGAGATAATCATGTGGTTTTTGTCTTTGGTTCTGTTTATATGATGGATTACGTTCATTGATTTGTGTATGTTGAACCAGCCTTGCATCCCAGGGATGAAGCCGACTTGATATTGGTGGATAAGCTTTTTGATGTGCTGCTGGATTCGGTTTGCCAGTATTTTATTGAGAATTTTTGCATCGATGTTCATCGGGGATATTGGTCTAAAACTCTCTTTTTTTGTTGTGTCTCTGCCAGGCTTTGGTATCAGGATGATGCTGGCCTCATAAAATGAGTTAGGGAGGATTCCCTCTTTTTCTATTGATTGGAATAGTTTCAGACGGAAAGGTACCAGCTCTTCTTTGTACCTCTGGTAGAATTCAGCTGTGAATCTGTCTGGTCCTGGCCTTTTTTTGGTTGGTAGGCTATTATTATTGCCTCCATTTCAGAGCCTGTTAATGGTCTGTTCAGAGATTCAACTTCTTCCTGGTTTAGTCTTGGGAGGGTGTATGTGTCGAGGAATTTATCCATTTCTTCTAGATTTTCTAGTTTGTTTGTGTAGAGGTGTTTACAGTATTCTCTGATGGTAGTTTGTATTTCTGTGGGATTGGTGGTGATATCCCCGTTATCATTTTTTATTGCGTCTATTTGATTCTTCTCTCTCTTCTTATTAGTCTTGCTAGAGGTCTACCAATTTTGTTGATCTTTTCAAAAAACCAGCTCCTGGATTCATTGATTTTTGAAGGGTTTTTTATGTCTCTGTCTCCTTCAGTTCTGCTCTGATCTTAGTTATTTCTTGCTTTCTGCCAGCTTTTAAATTTGTTTGCTCTTGCTTCTCTAGTTCTTTTAATTGTGATGTTAGGGTGTTGACTTTAGATCTTTCCTGCTTTCTCTTGTGGGCATTCAGTGCTGTAAATTTCCCTCTACACACTGCTTTAAATGTGTCCCAGAGATTCTGGTACATTGTGTCTTGGTTCTCATTGGTTTCAAATAACATCTTTATTTCTGCCTTCATTTCATTATTTACCCAGTGGTCATTCAGGAGCAGGTTGTTCAATTTCCATGTAGTTGTGTGGTTTTGAGTGAGTTTCTTAATCCTGAGCTCTAATTTGGTTGCACTGTGGTCTGAGAAACAGTTTGTTGTAATTTCTGTTTAAACCATTCATTCAGCAGGCACTTACTTTGTGCCAGCATTGTTATAATTCACCATTTTCTTAATGCTAAACCCTTAGAGTCCCAAAACTGTCTCACAAGCTCCCCTGAGCAGGTAGGGGCTGGCCTCTACCAAGTCTTCACATGTTGCCCCTCCTTGCACCCCAGGATGGAAGTTTGGTTTCCTTACTGGGATGCCCCATAGCACTTTATTCTTGTAAGACATTTATCACTCTCTGCTTTGCACTAAAAGTGCTCTGCTGAGATCTGAAGAGTATTTGTGATGTGTGTATGTAATACATATTTGTATTAACGGCTTTGAGTTCTAAAGTGTAGATGTTTTTCCCATTTCTAACCAGATGACACATTTTTGAGAGCACAATCTATCTGATTTATTACCGACAGTTAGTAATGTTGTGGGGAATTTAAAAATACACTTAAAAATGTGTACTTAAAAAACAGTATATGCTATGCCAATAATTGTTGGGTAAGTGAAGATTATTGAAACATAGTCTGTTATTAGCCCACTAAATGTGAGAATTCCTTTTTCTGCTCCACTTTTCATTACTAGTTTATACACAACAGATGTGGCAACATTTCATTACTAGTTTATAATACAGCTAGATGAGGAGAAAGCCAGTCCCTCCAAAGTTAGAGATATGAGAATCCCCTGAAAGTAGATTTTAGTGCATTTGCATATTAACAAAGAGACGCTCATGGAAACATCCAAGGTGAATCCAGCATCCAACTGTTGTTACATACGTTGTGGTTGTTAACCACAAAAATCTTGTAAAATAAATTTGAATCACTTGTATTACATTGCAGTTCTACTGAAAATACTTGATAGCAATACACCTCAAAGTTTGAATATTTGATTTCTTCAAAACACTTGGCAGGACAGTAATTGAATTGGGCGTGATATCGATTGCTTAAAAGCCTAACAAGAAGAAGGCAGTTTCCAAGATGACAGTGGCCTTAAGAGTGTCATACAGGAAACCAGCTGTCATGTGCTTAGCTTCAGGGAGAATACGCTGGAGCAAGAAGCACGAGGACTCCTGGGACTCACTGTGGACACTGTGTACTCAGTCACTCGAGGAAAGGTGCCGTGATGTTTCTGTAGGACTTCCGCCCAATGGTAAGATCTGGGATTCATCATCCTAGCTGAATAGAGTCATGTTAACTGTTGGGGTTATCCTGGACTTGATAAACCTGTTCTGAAAGCTGACTTTGACCTCTGTCTTCATAACTGGTTTGTAAGGTCCAAAGACACTAAAACAGCCAGCACACCTTTTGTGCACTAAGAATCTTTCACATCTATCAATCACGGGCCACCTCCCCTCGCATGTTTATGTGCTACGTTAGTATGGATCCATGGAGGAAGGTGACATGCTCTCAGCTATGTTGTGGCAGTAGCCATGGGCTGCTGTTGCAATGACAGGGAGCTATAAACTGTGATCCATAGGATATACTTTGCAGCTAGTTGCAGCTCAGTATATAAGTTGGCTTTGGTGACTTTTTTTGGGAAAAGAGAGGGTTCAGTGGTGAAAGAAACATCATTAAAAGGTTGACCCAGGGGTCTAGTATTGCGGCTGGTTAGACATAAAAGCCAGAACTCCTGCATTATAACATGTAATCAAAGAGTTGAGTTTCTGTTAATTCATAGAGAAAACTCATAGCAGTCTTGGAGTGATATTTTGGGTGGATATTGAGTTTTAAGTCCTGCATTCATCAATAAAACCGTAATTTTATAAAAGTGGAAGACTTGTGAATATTCAAGCATTTTTTGACAGAAAGTACAGTTTATATCTGTGCACATGTGTGCCCAATGTAAGTCTGTCCTCAAGTTATCCACTGGCATCACCCAGGTCCCTTACTTCCTTCCCTTATGCGTTGTTTGTAACAATTTTGCTGCCAATTAAACATGTCTACCAGTGTGTAGTCAAGAGCAAAGAATATAAAACAAAGATCATTAGTGTTACTTCTTGTAAAATATTTACTTTTTGCTAAAGATCTATTACTTAAAATGAGTTTCTAAGTGGGTTTTAATTATTGTTACTTCTCTATTTGTCCCAGTTTTTACAAGGTAGGTTGTCTTTTCAGGAGAGCAAAAGCCTAGCATGTAAGAGAGTAGAATATCAAGGGAAGGAAATACGGACATATTTTCATCCCAGTGAAGGCTAAATTAGCTCAAGAGCACAACCAAGGGATACAAATTAAGAACCTTCATAATTCAGCAAATGTGGGCAATAAAGGTAGAATCCTGGAAATCAGCCTGATCGTGAATACTCAAAGGATTATGTATTAAACAAGACAGGGCCCAATGAAATTGTCTTTGTGTTAGAAATTTTCAATTGCAGAAAGTTACAGCTCATTCAAGACCTAATATCCATAATGCAGTCTGACAGCAGCAAAATCACTCCACCGGCAAAAGACTTAAATGAAAAGCAATGCTAAATGCCTGCCTAGGAGAAAAAGTGACACAGTGTTACATAATCACACGTCCAAAGGGTATCATAGAAAGCAAAACAGGGCCACCAAATGGACCCTTAGGCCTTTGCTCATGATGCACCCAAAATATTAGTCATTCATGCAGTGAAATTGCTTTGTTTTAAGCACCAATAGAGTTTCTTGACCTCAAAACAGGATAAATAACGATTCAGGATAATCTAAGAGGTGATGGTGGTGGTGATCTGTATCAGAAGCTACACTAATATGAGCAGGGATGGCAGCAATGTTTGGTCAAATTGAGTCATGAAAATTCCATTGATTAAATACTCCTGTTATGTTTGAAAACATAAAACTATAAAGAGCTTAAAGACAGCTGTAGTACATGTGTCCTCTACTTTAGAACGCTAGCATCATTTCATCGTAAAATGGGAAAGCAGGAAACATAAAAGTCTAGGAAAGAAGGCAAACACATCTAACTTCTCCCGAAGAGATCTTTGGATCCACAAGGAACCATTAAAGAAGAGGACAACCAGGTAGAGTAACAGATTGTTAGAGCCTTGAGTTGAAGATGTCAGGAACCTACATTTCTTACTTTAGAATGGAATTCTTTAAACAGAATCCTGAAAGCTAGAGACATTCAAATACTGCTCTCTCTCCCATTGAATCATTGATCTTTTTGATCCAAAAGCATATGCCGTGGGACCAAGAAGAAGAAGAAACATTCGAGGTGGTTCTTTACTTTTCACAGTTTAGAGGCCTGTGCAGTGCTCCTGCAACTAATGGTAATAACTGTGGTCATTGTAAAGGGAAAGTTGTACATACGTATACAAGATAGGGAATGTGTTACTAATGTCAGAACAAAATCACAAACATCAATACTTAAAAACAAAGGGGAAATAATACACATTAAGCCTAATCTGATACATATAATCTCATTTAATCCTCAGTACAATCCAGTATCACTCCGCTTTGTAGGGGAAATCTGAGTCTGAAAACAGCTGAGTAAATTCCTGTGGCGGCCCTTCCCAGCCTTGCACACCTATCACCTTGGCCTGACTTTGGGGTCTCTGCTGACCCAGACTCTCTTCCCTGGAGTTCTAGTAAAAGGTACAGCTTCTTACAGAAGAAGGTAATTCCTCTGGACTGAACCTACAAAGGACTTTGAAGTCTTTAAAGACTGTCCCCTCCCCAGCTTAGCAGATGTTAAGCAGAGGCTGAAACACTTGACACTTAGCCAGCAAATTTGGTTGTATTTTTTTACAGTTGTCTTTCGTTTGTCACAAATAGGTTCTCTTTGTATTTGTGGCTGGAATTCCGTATTATTGTATACTTTGCATAGACTGTAAATGACTAGCATAGCGATATTTGTAAATATTTTACTAAGAATATAATTATACTCTTCTAAAGAGAAGAGGATCGCCGTCCTTCCCTTCCTTGTGCCTGAATGAATCCCCAGCAAAGGCCTGTTGCAGCAAAGCTAAGGGATTAGAGGAGATAAATAACACAGTGGCAGCATCTGCCTGAGGGTGCAAAGGGGCAGGGGCCCTGCAGGAGGAACGTTGGCCTCTCCCCGTGTTTTGTGAATCTAACGTTACTACTTAGGTGAGTTTGGATTCTGTAGTTGCGCATCTTCACAGTAAAAAGTGGTGGAGTTGCTAAGGGCGGATGAGTGTGGCCTCAGAAGACTCATCCCCCTGGGAACTTTCGGTAGCCACAGGGAAGGCTTGCATAGAATTAGGTCTTGCCTGATCAAAGCCTTGGAGCTGCTGGGTGATTGGACATGGACTGTGTTCTCCCTAGGCATCTTGTGCTTGTCCTTCCAGTGCTGATTGTCCTCGGCGGTGCCCATAGGTGACTCTGTCTTCCGTACCAGGGCTGTTCTGTGGAGCCACAGACTGTGTGCCTCTCTGTTACCGCTGTCTCCAGCACCTTGAAGGGTGCATCTGCTGCTCACAGACCTTCAGTAAGTTCCTGCTGAGTGAATGAACACACGCTTGTTTGTAAGGATTAGTGCTTCTGTTGGCAGTGGGATTTGAGAAGCAGGGCACGAGGAGAGAGCAAGGAACACCCGGGAACCTACCCTCCCTCAGCCTCCACCTTGTTAGAGTTCCTCCTGATAGGAAGTGGCAGGGAAATGCAGTGAATCTAAGGAGGGGCACGTGTCTATCTTTCTGATTGAAACACTTTTCTTTTCTGTAATTGAAATAGCTGTGGCCGCTGGCTTGAGAAAATATCCCCTACCTTGCAGTGTCTAGCATCAATGCTGTTTAAAATCTTAGATCTTCGCATGGCCCTCAAATACCAGTGTTTGCACCTTCACAAAATCCTTAAAGGTTAGTCTTGTAGATGGGTGTTAGGTTGACTTGATGCTCTGAGAGGCTGAGCGACACCCTGAGGAAAAAATGCTGCTTTGGTCCCGACTCCCTGTGTTTTTCCTCCTGAGAAGTCTCTGGTCCTGACCAGCTCTGGCATCATGTGCCGATGCTGTTTAATGCTCTCTCTTAACTTAAAATACTGCCGTGGGGTTCTCCAGCAGTGCCACTGATGTCTCAGTACTTGTTTTAAAATAATTTATATGCAGCGTCTATATTAACCTGCACACCTCTTTTTAGCAATTTCTCCCTTCCCTGACAAGTCTTTTCTCGTACATGACGTGAAATAGTGGAGGGCAGAGGCCCAGGCCAAGTGCATGGCTCATGCATTATGTTTCTTTTGGTTTGTCAAAAAACCATTGAATGTCTGTGAAACGTGCATTTCCTCTAAACTCCACTCTAGTTCAACACTTAGCTAACAGATTTTCTAAAAATTAAAGCAATTGTATCAATGCCTATGAAATATGCTACAGGAAAGACCCTTGCCTTTCTGTGAAATACTGTCTTCTAAATAGCCACCGTCATTTGTGCCTCCTGCTCAAGAGAGGGATGTCAATTTTGAGTCCTAGAGTCAGGGGTACTCTGAGCTACACTTAGTCCTTTTCTCATTCATCCTCCCTTTATGAAATCCATCATTACTGCTCCCCCACATTTTGGGCAAATTGCATGGGCATCCCTGACTAATGAATTTTTCCTGGAGTCCTAGAGGCAAAGGGATAGGGCTAGCACTTGTCAAGGTATGGTCTGAGGTCTGTAAATAATGTGTATGGCCTGGGCGGTGGTGGGGAAGGGTACAGATTCTAGCATCTCACTCTAGACCTGCTGAATCAGACTCTCTGGGGTGGAGCCTAGGATTGGCAGTTGGACCACACTCATGAGTAACTCATGGCCCTTTGAGAATAGTTACGTCCATTCAGCAAATATTTACTGGTGGACTATAATATACAGGCACTTGGCTAGATGGTGGGAATATAGGGATGTACAAAAACAGATGCAGAACCTGAGTATGCTGCTTTATACTTACTGAGAAATGCAATTCAACCTTGGATTGGAAGGTTCAGAAAGACAACTGGAAACCTGGGATGGAGATTTTCAATCAACTAGCCAAATAGCAAATATTTATTCAGTTCTCAGGAGAAAGGTACTATGCTGACTACTTGAGATGATAGAGAATATAGCATGGTTCCTGGGCTCTGAGGATCTTATATTCTGGCTGGGAAAACAGCATATGAAAAGTTAAACTTGGCCGGGCCCGGTGGCTCACACCTGTAATCCCAGCACTCTGGGAGGCTGAAGTGGGTGGATCACCTGAGGTCAGGAGTCGAGACTGGCCTGCCCAACGTGGCGAAACTCCATCTTTACTAAAAATAAGAAAAAATTAGCCAGGCATGGTGGCAGGCACCTGTAATCCCAGTCACTCAGGAGGCTGAGACAGGAGAATTACTTTAACCTGGGAGGCGGAGGTTGCAGTGAGCTGAGATTGCTCCACTGCATTCCAGCCTGGGCAACAAGAGCGAAACTCCATCTCAAAAATAAATAAATTAATAGATAAATAAATATAAAGAAAAAAACGAAGTTAAACGATAGCAGACAAACCTGGTTAATTGCTAAGTGAGTAAGGCTAACAATAACAGTGTTCCGGCTGTCACTAGCTCTTCACCGAATGTCTCCTTCCACCTCAATTTTCCCACATCCTGATTCCATCCTACTTCTAGTGTTTTGTTATTTTAATATTTATAATTTAAACATCACTATTAGGATGTTACAATTTGCTGCCGTAAGGTATTTGGAATTTTTGAAACACAGGCCACCTCTGCTTCAGATGGCATATCATTCTGCTGACTTAATATTATCCAACCATAAAGCAAAGGTGAATTTCTAATTACTTAGAAATATATTCAGTTAAAATAAGCTTTTTTTCTTTTTCAAAATGCTATCTAATTTAAATACATACATATATGTGTATATGTGACTATATGGCATATATGTAAGATTATATATGTATATACCTATGTATGTATGCACATGCACATGTGAAAAGTGTACAGCTTGGAAAATACAATGTGATATCAGAATAAAGTAAGGAAAAGTTATGGTGTAAGAGCTTTTTGGATCATTTGAAATGTTAGAGATTGCTGTAGGTTGGCTTTCTAAAGTAGACCAGAAGATCCTCGCTTGGGAGTTCTGGAGTCAATAGAGTAGAGTTAGAAATGTTCTATTTAATACTTTTCAGTAGATCTTCTGGAGTTAGCCCTCTGTGACTTAAATAGTTGGAAATTAAGGCATATTCTTTGGGAGTTGGATGCATATAAATTCCAGAGGGTGGAAGCCGTGTTAGTACAATGCTGTGGGTAAGAGCTTTGGTTTTAGAGTCAGATGGTTTTGTGTACATGTGTGTACTCTGACTATATTGTGTGGCCACAGGACTTAAATTTCTTAGACTCAGTTTTCTCTTCTATAAAATGGCCTGAGTAATAGTACTTATCTGATAGGGATATAGAAAATGTTAAATAGATGTTAAGCACTTACCCAAAGTCTGGCATACATTAAGCACTCCATTATTGACTCTCATTACATCATCATCATTTTCTCAGTTAGTTAAAAGAGCCTACTGCGTGTATATTAATTTGCCTTTCCCTGAAAAGTACGACAAATTCAGCTCCACAGAGTAACTTACTGTCCTTTTTAAATACCATTTCTGTGTGGATCTCAGCAATTGTGTAAACTTTTAAAAACAGAATTATCCATATTCTTTCAGTGATTGAAAATTATAGAATTTGGAGCCAAGCTTCAAGTGTTCCCTTGTAATGTGTACCCAAAGAGGAGAATCTGACTGTACGTTGTTTAGTCATTCATAGCATGTATACCAACCAGTGTTTGTTCAATTTAGGATGGTAAAAATAATTTGCACAGTTTGTTAATTGTGCCCCAATAAAAATGGGGGAAAAACAGATTTAGATGATAGATGAATTTTGGCTTGGAATATAGACCTAATTAATTATATTTTTTAGACACAAATTTAAAGTTATTTCTAGCACATTAAAATAAACAAAATTAGCACAATGTGAAACTATATGGAAACAGAATATAGCAATTTCCATAAGAGACTTTGAAATACTGACAGTAATGATTATGGAATTTTCATTTCCCAGCAGCTGCCATTTCTTGGAGATGTTTACATATTAAATATTAGATCATTTCTAAAAAATAAACTGAGACACGTAAATGGAATTATTTTTTATCCTGAGGCTCAGACTAAAGTCCCAGAGTATGACATTTCCTGGGCATTTTCTCTGTAGCTCTCAACTGTCCCAGCCTTCGGTTGCAGCACAGAGAGCTTCTGAGTGGCCATTGCTGTTCAAGACGGTACAGCTTTTCCATGCTTGTCCTGGGTCTCTTCCTTGACAGACTTATTTTATTCATTCTGTGTTTACACACCGACAGCTATGACACACACAGGATCGGGATACTCTGCTGGGTGCTATGGTGCAAACTCGCAAAGAATTTATCATCGAACAGTAAAAAGATGAGCCTGAAAACATACTGCCAAACGTTTACTTTTAGAAGACTGGGGGCAGGTGTCATGAACTGGCTTTGTTTATTGTATTTCAAATCTTGTTTTCTTTAAAGAAGCCAAGATGCTAAAATGAGTGGCATGTGTTCAGTAGGAAATCATCTCTCGTGTGTGTTAAACAGAGCAGTGTTCTCCCTCCTAAACAATTTATAATGATGTAAGATGGAACCTTGGGTGCTGTGACTGAAAACGGCCATAAATTATCAAGTGTAAGTGGGAAAGTTGGTGCTTACCATTTAACTTGAGCCTGGAACATACTGAAGGCATTAAGTGCAGTGGTATGTGACTGAACTGATGGGAGTTAATATGTAATTACTGTTTTTTACAGTACAGTTATGGCAATTATATTTATTCTATTTTTTGGAAAGTACATATAATGTAATTATAATTAATAACTGCAAAGATAGGCTCAATTACTTAAGTCATGAAAGTGAATTACCTTAATCATACTGAGAATTTTTCAGCCGCCCTGTATAAAGAATATCTATGGAAACAGTAATGCTCTGGAGAATGTTACTTGTAAGGAAACTGAAATAAATAAATGTGGAGTTTATGCTGAAATGAGTAGTTTTAAACAATGAAGAAAACTATCAGAATTTTATAGCTTGCTACTATCTTTAAATCCTTTTACATAGTGCATGAATCATCATGCTTTCATTGTAAATTTAAAATTTTAAATGAAATTTCAAGAAACATTGTCTTTGCAAAACACAGTTCTAAATAGTTGAAAAGAGTGAGGAAAGAAATTCTGTTAAAATTCAGGATTATTTTTGAACCCTTGATTGACTTTCGAGGAATATTTTAAACTGTCTAGAAAACTTTGCATTATTATTTATGGTATTATGTGCTAAATAAAAGGGGCCATATCAGTGTTTTCTTATAAATAGTTTAGTTACTTTTGGGGATGAAACTTCCATATAGATTATGTGATTTTTATGTAAAAATGTAACCTACAAGGAAGGTATCGCTCAAGCTTGTGAGTTATTTGAGTGCAATTAATGTATACATCTTTCCATTATTAGTCTATTTTAGGTAACACTTTTAAAGAGTTTAACTCTTCCTTCTTACCTACCCCCTGCTATCTGATGACTTGCCTTATGCTTCTTCTAAATTTTAGTTGCACAAATACCTATTCTTTACCTCTCCCCGTTTCCTTTCCCAGTACCCTAAAGTAGACCACATCATTCAGTTTTTTTTTTTTTTTATTCAGCAAACACCCCCTCAGGTCATCTCAACAAACCTCTCAATTCTGCCTCTCTCATCGGCTCATTTCTCTTCGTCTCCACTGTTAATATGGTAGAGTAAGCCATCTTCAATTTCTCACTTGCGTTATTTTCCAGGAGGTTCAAACCGGAAATGGTTTCGTGGGATTTCATTTAAAGTAAAATAGACATTTTTAGTTTTTGAGAGATGGTGAGCCAACTTTTATCTTTTGAGAAACTGCCTCTGCTCAATCAGTTAGTCAGAAGTACCTAACCGTAACTAAATTTGCCTTAAAAGAAATCTGGTTGGTATATTTTCACTCTTCCCCAATTATAGGTACCCAAAAGGGCAAGAATTATATTAGATTTCATCTTTTGATGTTGGTTTTTGTTTTTGTTTTGTTTAGGAGACGGGTTCTCAATCTGTCGCCCATGTTCGGTGCAGTAGCGCAATCATAGCTCACTGCAGCCTTGAACTCCTGGCCTCCGGTGATCCTTCCATCTCACCCTCCCAGGTAGCTGGGATTACAGGAGTGAGTCACCATGCCCAACTCCGTCTTTAGACATTTAAGTGCCCCATTTCAACTATCTGGTATGCTTCTCTGTGAAATACTGTAGGTGTGCAATAGTCACCCGTCCATCCACCTTTAGCGTCATGTAGCTCTTCTGTGTTTGTATTTATGTAGACAAGACTTACTGTATTTTATGAGCATGTGAATTTTTAATTATGAATAAGTTTTGGTATATTGGAAAAAAGTACACAATACTGTATTTGCTTTGTCACTTATAAATTTCGCTATTTAAGATTTAATACTCTCAAATTTGTTAAATTAGAACAATTTTTAGGATAGTGCCAGTCACTTATTTGTATTAAAAATAAGGGTTAGGCGCAGTGACTCATGCCTGTAATCCCAGCACTTTGGGAGACCAAGGTGGGAAGGATTGCTTGAGCCCGAGATTTCAAGACCAGCCCGGGCAACACAGCAAGAACCCATCTCTACAAAAAATTTAAAAATTAGCCAGGCATGATGGAGTGCGCCTGTATTCCCAGTTACTTGGGAGGCTGACATGGGAAGGTCGCTTGCGCCGGGGGTGTTGAGGCTACAGTGAGCGTGATCACACCACTGCCCTCCAGCCTGCGTGACAGAAGGAGACCCTGTCTTAAAAAAATAAAGCATAGTTGCTAACTTTTGTGTATTCGTAGAGTCATTCATTGAGTACAATTTTTTGAACACTCACCACATGCCGGGCGCTGTGCTCAGGTCTGAGAATGAAACTCTGAATGCTTGACTCCTTTGTGGGGAAGCTCTTGTCTAAGTCATTATGTGGAGCTGAGGTTCCTAGCACAGTGCCCCCTAACCTATGCTGGGGTTACTGGATGGAGCAGAATAGTTCCCTGAGAAGTGTTGTGAAGTTAAATAGGATTTGGCAAAAGGAATAAAGGCAAGGGGCAGTCCCCACGATGGAGGACATTGGAAGGGTGAGTTCAGCACATTTGAGGACCAGGGGGCCGACCAGTCAGGAGCAGAGACTCGGAGGGGTAGGATGGGAAGAGTGAGGCTATAAAATAAGCCACAAGAAAGCTCCTGAAAAGCCTTCATTATTCTGAAAGGCTTGAAGAGTACCTACAGGAACTGTAAAAGATTTTAAGGACCTGGTGCAACAGAAGCAGATTGACGTTCTTGGAAGATTTTTCTGGGGGAGCCAAGTGGAAAACACATTTGTGTGGTCTAGACTAGACAACCTGGGGTGGGGAAGAATACAAAAGCAACAGTCCTCAGTTCCTCAGGCCCTTCACTGTTGACTTTGAAGTGCAGACTAATCAATCATTGCATGTTTATTTAGTTCCTGTTTCATGGTGATGTGCCTTGATAGATAAGGCTGAAAATTCAGAGAACTGTTAGACCTGGTTCCTGCCCTCAAGACATTTAGTCTAGTTGGGAGGAAAGATAAAAACATAATGTATGGTATGTAGTGTTTCAATAGCGTGCACAGTAGTTTCACATATAGTATCTGTTTTAATCCTTGAAACAACTGTAATCTATCACATTATTGCAGCTGACATATTATTAATGAGAGACTGTAGCTTAGATGAAGTCATGTCCTGTAGCCCTCTTTATAAGTAATGAAGATAACGACTGCAAACAAGGTCTTTGGACTCCTTGGCAAGATGCCTTCCCACGACATCATACTTTCCCACTTGTTAAGTAATACCTTAACCAGGTAGCTGCCTGAGATGAAAACATCTGAGATTGCATAAAGTGTGACTGCCCATCAGATGGCTTACATAGATGACAATGTGGTACGTTTAGAGAAGAATTGATCACTGTATCTTGAATGATAACTTGTTTCTTGATGGGAGCAAATTCTGATTTGGAAACGAATTCTAGGGCGCAGAAGTGAATGAAGTGTCCAGAGGCAGACAACAGGGTGGAAGAGTTTGTGCCCTATGGTTCTTATGGGGGAAAATAGGGTAAGAACTGAAAGTATCAGTTGGATCCAGTGGTGAAGAACTTTGGAGTGACGATTAAAAGTGGATGGGCTGGGCTGGGCTGGGCGCGGTGGCTCACGCCTGTAATCCCAGCACTTTGGGAGGCCGAGGCAGGCAGATCACGAGGTCAGGAGATCGAGACCATCCTGGCTAACACAGTGAAACCCCATCTCTACTAAAAATACAAAAAAATTAGCATGGCATGGTGGCGGCGCCTGTAATCCCAGCTACTCGGGAGGCTGAGGCAGGAGAATGGCGTGAACCCGGGAGGTAGGGCTTGCAGTGAGCCGAGATCATGCCACTGCGGTCCAGCCTGGGTGACAGAGCGAGACGCTGTCTCAAAAAAAAAAAAAAAAAAAAGCAGATGGGCTGTCATAAAGAGATTAATGACCACAGGATCCGAGAAATACACACCTGTAGTTAGGAAAAAGAACTCAGTAGTGGTGCGTGGAATGAATGGGAAGGTAAGTCGTAAGGCCAGGTAGTTAGGAAGAGATTCTGGTAGAGCCAAGGTCTGTCCTCCCTCCACTGGGGGGACTCAGTCCCCTCGTGATTCTTCTGTCCTCCCTCCACTGGGGTTACTCAGTCCCCTCGTGATTCTTCTGTCCTCCCTCCACTGGGGGAACTCACTCCCCTCGTGATTCTTCTGTCCTCCCTCCACTGGGGGGACTCACTCCCCTTGTGATTCTTCTGTCCTCCCTCCACTGGGGGGACTCACTCCCCTCGTGATTCTTCTGTCCTCCCTCCACTGGGGAATCTCGCTCCCCTCGTGCTTCTTCCTCTCCTCCTGTTGTCCTCTTTTTCCTTTGTGTGCCTGTAATGGACACTTTTCCATTCCATATCTCTTGGGTTTTGGAGATGGTAAAAATGTTCTTCCTTATCCCACCAATTCTTAATAGGCTTCTGTCACCTTTTCACAGTTCTAATATCCAGTTTAATGAAATATCTTGCTGTTCTTTAATCATCATGATTCTGGTTTGTTGGAAATCGGCAAACCCTTGAAATGCTAGAGACTTGTAGAAAAACAAATTCACTTTGTTTCAGGCCCTAGGGACTTGACCATTGCAGCTTAAGATCGCCATATGTGTGCTTCCTCTCACTTCAAGTTCCGGTTTTGTCTGACTGACGGACCCTTCCAGGCCAGACAGTTGCTGCCATTCATGCCTTCCTGACTTCATCTGCATTTGGAATGATTTCCACCCCAGAAGAATTAGTTGGATGTTTTCTACTATGCATACCATTGCTTTCCTCTTCCCTTATTTGTAGTTTCTTGCATATCTCACGTTGAGAACTTCAGGCCCCCACACAGTTTAACGTGCCCTGCAATATTTTATGCTTATTTCGCTATTTCAAAATGGCTACCAAAGGCACCAGTCTTAGTATAGACCTTGCATTAACCTTTTCAGTGTTCTGCCAAGCATCTACGTTAGAAAGTCTCTAGACATATATTTGCATTTATTCTCATCTTTTATTAAAATACATTTCTTTTCAAAGTTTATACCTGACTTAAATTGTTTTTCAGAGTGGTAAATGTCTTTACTTTATTCTTCAAAAAGGAAACAAATAAAATGCACAGACCTGAAGGAGACAGCTCTTTAAATATTGTATATTCCCAGCACTGCTGTGTATCAGTGCTGCCACTCAATTGGCTGAGAAAGCTGCTTGGCATTTCTGCAGTTAATGCTTTGCTAGTGGTACATTTTCTTTTCATTTTTGGGTTCACTCTCTAGGCCTCTGGTTGGTTAATATGGACATTATCTAGTGAAAATGCCGCATTTCATAATGTTAGAACAAAGTTTCACAGTAATTGCCTTCGGAAGACATTTGCAGCTCTGCATTTACAACTTACTCTCGCTAATGCGTGGCAAGGTCAGAAAAGCAGCAGGCTTGTGAGTAAGAAGGAAAAAAAACCGTCCCTCTTGCTCATAATGATTTATGTAGTTGGGCAATTAGGCAAAATACACAAATAGTAGTTCGATATTATATTAATCAATTTAGCCATGGGATATAAAGTCATAAGGAATGTCATCTGCTGGGGATGAAACACAGTGCTCGGTGCAGAATGTTTACTGTATGCTTCTACGCAACAGACTGTATGTAGTTTCCAGCAGAATTATCGTGCTTATTTAACTTGGCTCTCCCATGCTCCTGTGTTGAATTGGTGTTGAGAAAGCAGATTAGACAATGTTAAATGAAGGAAAGAAACTTCAGGAACAAACTTTCAAAAACATAGACTGTATTATTTAAAAAAAAAAAAAGCACCCCCAAGGACAGGCACGGTGGCTCATGCCTATAATCTCAGCACTTCGGGAGACCGAGGCAGGAGGATCACTTGAGCCAGGAGTTCAAGACCACTCTGGGCAACATGAGGAGACCCCATCTGTACAAAACATAAAAAATCAGCCAGGTGTGGTGGTGCACGCCTGTCGTACCAGCTACTCGGGAGGCTGAAGTGGGAGAATCACTTGAGCTCAGGAGGTTGAGGCTGCAGTGAGCCATGATTGTGTCACTGCACTTAAGCCTGGGCAACAGAGGGAGACCCTGTCTCAGGAAACAGAAAAAAAAAAAAAAAAAAAAAAAGGCACCCCTCGCCAAGCCCTGACTGGGGAGTGGAGAGTTGAAAATATGCGAAGCTGTAAGACTTTCTTGTTTATTTCTGTGTCGAAGGCAAGGCAGCTTAATAGAATTTGAATATAACTAAATCCATCCACTTAGCATAACTGTGTTCCTCCCTGTAATGCAGTAGCCAAAGGTAATCTGTTTGTTATGTACTTTCCTTTATTATCCCAGCAAGTCCCACATTCTGGAAGCAAATGTTATATTTACCATAATCCATGAAAGGAAAAAGCCCAGGCTAAAAATACAGAACAGAACAAATGTAAAACACTGCTGCTGCTCAAGGTTTGTAATTGCTCTATAAGTGAGTCTCAGGCATCTGTGTGGCACAGATACTTTTATGTGTTGTTGAAAGAGCTGGCTGAGCTTCAGATGGGTTTGCAGGAGTGTCAGGATTCAGGAGCGTCTCTGAAAGGTGCTTTGTGCTGACCAAGCAAATAATAGCAGGTTGTATGCAGGACTCCCACGTTTGAAAACATGACTGCCTGGTGAGTGATTGCATTTAATATAAGAATCAGGTAAAATTGTCCGCACAGAACCAGTTGGTGGGGTGGAGATATTAAAGGATAGAATTTTTCTGGGAAATCTATATTCTCAAATCAGCTACTGAAAAGGGTGGGGACGCTGAAGGCAGGAAGTGGAGAGCGGAAGTGAGCTGTGGGTGACTGCAGAGAGGTTGTAGCACTCTGTGCAGGGCTCCCTTCAAGCTGAATGTAGAACAACTGCACATAAACCAGACATGCTTTAGAAAATCCAGCCAGGCCTCTGTGGTAGATAAGAAGTTGCTTCATTTATTTTTCTTTTTTTAGTGTCATTACCAGTATTGGTTGCACTACTGTAGCGTTCTGGGTGCTGGGGATCAGGTTAGGCCAGGTAGCTTCTGTTTAAAATGTGGATTTTATATACGTTGTTTACATTTTATGAGAGAATTATTCCTTATGTATACTTTTTTCTTTTTCATTTTCTAACTACTACTTAAAATCCAAGAACATTGTGAGAATACCTACCTGTACTCTCCTCTGGTACTTTTAGACGGTGTAAAACATTTCACTAAATCCTTACAACAGCATGGAGAGGTGGGCCTCTTTGTGCTTGTTCTGTTGCTGTAGGATCTGGCACTCTGATCCCAGCCCAGGATTGCATAGCAAGAAAGCTTCAGGAGCTGGGATCTGAACTTGGGTCTGAAGCATCAAAACCCTCCCTCTTTTCCATTTACTACACTTCCTACAAATATTTTGTAGTATTTTACAGAGATTCATTTTAGTGAATGAATGAATTATTCAAATAATGACACCTTATTAGCAGTATTTTCCACATGTTCATGTGAGGGTTTTCCAAAAGGACCCAAAGTGTAATTAATCGAGCTTTCTACCAGAGTATCTTTTCGAACATATGGAATATATCTGTATCTCTACACGTATCTTAAAAAATGGATAAGATAATGTGTAAGCATAGCTGTGTTTCAGGTCTGAACAATCCAGCTTTCATAATGAGGAAATATCTTTGTTATCATCTAAACAAGCAATTTGTTTTCCCTTTCCATTTTATTACTCCTTGTGTGGCCTGTCTGTGGTCATGGTTAACTGGTGGAAGGGAATTACTCACAAAGAAAGTGGATTGGAGAAGAATAACGTGGGGTCACTAAGCCACATTCCATCATTCCCCAATGGCCACACGCTCATGTGCTCTGTCGGTGATTTGTTACTATATACCATTGCTAAATAATGGAATCTTTCTCATAATCTAAGAGGACTTTTCAGGATTCTTTCCATGTGAGGCCAGAGGCACCTTGACTCTCCCTGTCATCAGATAAGTTCATCTTGCATTTGCAACTCATAGCCACATCCCCAGGTGTGTTTATCCACATAGTGTTATCTTTGCCTGGACGTCCTGATAGCACGGGTGAAAAGTAAGGCAGCTCAGCAGCCAGCCTGTAGCCTTGGTGTGTGACATCAGAAAGGATGTGTTTATTTGAAAGAAGAAGATGGAGCTGATTTGGTCAATCTAGTTCTCTAAATTGACATTCAGATTGCAAGATGCCTAAATAAAAATTACTGGAAGTCATTAGAATGAGATCAGTGCCTGAACTAAGAGACACATTACTACGTCCTGTTTATTTATCTGATCAATCTTTCATCCATCCACCCACCCACTCCCTTGTGCCTGCCAGGCTCTCTGCTTGAGTGTGCCAGGATACACAGTGAAGGTGACTATAGGAATGAAAAAGGGATGATGGATTCAAGAGAAACTGCTACTTGGTATTTTCAGGTTTTTGTTTTTGTGAAGGATGATACTTTGGGAAAAGGAATCATACTTTTCATTTGCTCTGGCTTTGCCCTCTTGGTGAGAAATTGTGGTGCCAGCAGTAGTGGTACTGACACAAAACCAGTGTCTGGACAAGTCAAATGGGTCGCATTTTAGTTTGTTTCTAAATATTTAAAGAACACTTATTTTAAGATTGTTAGATTTAGAGGTAGAAGTAATTAAAAACCAAAGCTACTTCCCTCCTTTTTTGTTTCTTTTAATATCGTGAGCCCCAGGAGCTTCTGTAGTCATTAAAAAATAAAATGCATGTGCAAAGCTTGTCCCCATAAGCTTTTTGGAGTGTGGCTTTTATGCATATAAACCAGGATGCCTTTGTTAAGTAGGGTGAGTCTTTTAAAGTGATTTGGTTCAGCGTTTCATAATCACATGGCAATATATGCAAGGCAAGTGGATTCCTCTTGTATTTAATGCAGAATTTAAGTTACAGAAACACACATAATAACGGTTTGCCGATTTTGTTAGGAGGAAATTGTCCTGATTATAATTATCTCCACGGCATAGAGTTGAGATTTCATATTACTGTATCACTTGCAAATCCATTTTTGTGAACACCTGACCACAGGTCTGTAAAACTGCCAAGCAGAGCCTCGCCTGGGCTCACACACAAGGCAAGATTTCCTTCCTCCCAGCAGGAGGCATGGCACAGTGGCAGCAAAGAGGTTTCTCTCTCCCTCAGACGGCCACAGGGCAGAATGAGGAAGGTGTGTGAAATAGTACATGTATGTAAGATAGATTTTACATTAAAGTACGAGAGCGCTGCTTGTTTATTTGCATAAATGAACAGCCATGAAAGTGACCCCAGTCCGGCAAGAAGAACGTGGCTTGATAAGGAAGGGGCTCCTCTGTTTTTTCTAAATGTGTGCATTAAGTTTCCTTGTATTACAGTTGAGAGAGTAAAAGGTATTTCAGCCGTACTAATATTACAACTGAGAGAGTAAAAGGTATTTCAGCCGTACTCAATTGGTATTTTGGGCAACAGTGAGAACCCTAAGCTGTGGGCATTGCTCATTGTTCAGATTTAGCCAGCGGAGGCCTGTGCCTGCCTTCACACAGCGTGTAACGGAAGGCATTGCTTTTGCTGACTGGTCTGGAATAGGCCAAGTGTAAATATTAGTAGTGAGTTTTGCCCAATATGCTTTTTTCTCCTATCTTTAACCAATAGAAATACAGGGCTGTAAATAATTGAAGCTGAGACGCATCCAGTGTTAGAGACATATATGAATTTTAATCACAGTCAAGGGCAGTTTGACACTCTCACTGTCTGCTGGCAAGGCGATCCACCTTTTCTGTCTTGGGTCACGATAGCATTGTGTCCTTTCTCATTCTTGAGATGCCTGGCTTCCTAAAATGACCATCTTTATTTAGATTAAGGACCCATTTAGAGTAGTTTTAATAATGTATGCTTTCATACATAAGTGGTTCCATAATTTATTTCACCATTATTCTTCTCTGTCAGGGTTCTGGAATGTTTTTGTTAATTAAGCGGGGGAAGAGCAATATCTGCCTCCAGCCAGCCAAGCTAGTTGCCCTTGTTGTTATCGATTATTATCTTAAACCAAACACACACACACACACACACACACACACACAAAGCAAGCCCAGTAGCCTGTCAGTAAAGGCCAGTTAGTGTATTAAAAATAGCCTCAATAAACCTCATCACTCTGGTATCACTAGGGACCTTGCTCTGAGCTGGAATGCATTTGTCCTGAGTTTTAACCCATTTAGGAGAGTAACCTCCTTCTGAATGCTGCCCAGTCCCTGCCACCACACTGGCATTATTGACAGGTGTTTTTTTTTCTTTCCCAAGTCGGAGTCTCCTTCTGTCACCCAGGCTGGAGTGCAGTGGTGCGATCTTGGCTCACTGCAACTTCCACCTCCTGTGTTCAAGCGATTCTCATGCCTCAGCCTCCTGAGTGGCTGGGACTACAGGTGTGTGCCGCCACACCCAGCTAATTTTTGTATTTTTAGTGGAGACAGGGTTTTGCCATGTTGGCCAGACCGGTCTTGAATTCTGACCTCAGATGATCCACTTGCCTCAGCCTCCCAAAGTGCTGCGATAACAGGCATGAGCCACCACGCCTGACCTATTGACACATATATTAAGGAAATGTCCCCACCCTCATCAGCAGATGCAGTTTTATTTCCCACATAGCTGAATGCACAGATCTGTGGGTTTCATGTCATCTAGGTGAAAATTCCTCAGGAACGAATCTTTTCTATAAAGTAAATATGAGCCCCGTGGCCAGAGGAGGTGGGATTTCCAGAAGCAGTGTACTAAGTAAACCCGAGGCTTTGCGCCTTGTGAGGGTGGCGTCAGGACACATTTCGTGTTCCTCTTACTGCTGCATCTCCCGTGCTCTGCTCTCACTGACTTTCTTTGGCTTCTCATGTTCCTGTGTGCTGAGGTAGAACGTTTCCAAGCTGTCCACAGAGATCACGATTCTTTGGGTTGCTAACGAAACCTCTGAATGGAAGCCTCAAAAACAAGCTGATCGCTAAGTGTGTGTGTCATTATAAGCCCATAATTAGGAAGTTACCTCATCATCTTGCATCGACCCCGATGGAAATATACTGTCTTCAGGTATTCAGCACTTGTCAGTTGATCTCCAAAAACCCTAATGTCTTTCCCCTGTTAAATATATCCGTGATTCTATGGACACAGAAAAGCTCACAGTTAAATTTCCCAGGGGAAATGTGGTTTCCAAAATTGATACCATATGACCCTGGGAGGAGAATTAAAATTGTTTTTGTAGTAATATGGGTTGTTGTTAATATTTCTGTATCCTCCTGTCCTTGGTGAGTTTTTAGCTTTCAACATCAGTGATATCTGTTTCATTGTTGTCTTTACTAACATAAGACACAAGTCTTTCCAAGTAGTTCTGTTTTCCCTAAATCAGTCATCTAGAAAACAAACATACACACTTTGTGATTTTCAAAGAAAATGTAGAGCTGAAGGCAAGAGCACAGGTATCACGCTTTTTGTGGTTTATAATCTTTATTTTGACCTAGTTACTTTGTGACGCCCCTCCCAGCATAGCAAGTGTGTGCACTGCTATCTAAACATGAACCCTGCATGCCATGTCTTAGAGGAACTTGCGATCCACCTTGTTTTGAAAAGACTTCCTTCATAATCATACTTGAATGACTTCATTGATTTGGGAATTCCTGTTTAGTTTCTTTTGTTTGATTGCCCTTATATAATGGTCTGCAAGAACAAACATACAAACCTAAAATCTAAAAGATACTTTTGACACCATTCAAAGTGGAGATTATGGTTGAACCAACAGTGGCTGCACTGAGCTCCAGCTTCCAGATCAGCAGTTGAGCTGCCTCTGTGTACCCAAACCTCCCCATGTCAACCAGCAGGAAGAAAACAAAACACCTGGGCAGCCATTTGTTTTCAGCTTTCACTTTTGCATTTGCTTTTGAAGCTGTGCTATGCAACACTTAAATTATAATCTGTTTATTTCTCTCACATGTGGAGCTCCCGTCTCTCCAATGAGTTTATTTAGCAAATGTTATGAATT
Organism: Homo sapiens; assembly: GCF_000001405.40. Classification (NCBI taxonomy): domain Eukaryota; kingdom Metazoa; phylum Chordata; class Mammalia; order Primates; family Hominidae; genus Homo; species Homo sapiens. The sequence goes on from NC_000010.11 coordinate 11,150,812, forward strand.
CAGGAAAATTATGATTAATTTTGGAGCCCCAGTCTAGACCTGTCATTTTAACACTGAAGAACTACAGTTAGATGCTTTGTGTGGTTATTAAGAAGAACAGTAATTATTTCAGTAGTATAAAAATATCAACAATGATTACAGGTGACTTTTTGGCTTAAATATTCAACTCCCCAACACCTTTCAAGAATGTTGTGAGATCATAAAAAGTCCAGGAGCAAAATATTAGTTAAGGAAGAATGAGGCTATTTAATTGGTTAGACTTGTTGGTGAGAAAGGCATGCTGTTTGTAGTCTGTTTCCATGACCACAGCTGTTTCCCCACCCAGTTTTTAGTAGTATAATATTAAGCCTTAATTTACAACTGAAAGTTTTCCACCTCCGGTCCCGTAGTCCAAATCAAGTTATTAAATTTAAACCTTATGGCTTTTCCTGTATATTCCCTGGATTCAGCTTACCACTTTGGCCCCTATTAAAGAACCATATTGCTAGTATCCCGGGCTTTGTGTGTACTTGAATTGTTTTTTCTTCTGTATCTTTTCCATGGATGGGATAACTGGGAAAGAGACGAGGGAGTGTGTGAGTCAGTAACGATAGTGTAGGATTTTGCTGTTGCCGACAGTTTATGGATTGTTGGTTTTGTATTGTTTTTATTTTGTCTTTTGGCAAGGCTGTGTTCCTTCCAGTTGAGTGAGGTGGATAGAGTTTTGAACTCTGGACTCTACCATCACCTTATTCCTGGAGATGTATCAGTACCGTATACACAGGGGACCCTATGTGTGGCCATGAGCCTTGCTGTAGAACCTGTGGCTCCAGAGAGCCACCTGGCCACAGAGAGCAAAAGATAATTTTAGCCTTGAACTAAAAGGAGGAATGAGGCTGTGTTTTCTGGACCAAACCCTAACTTGAGTCCCTGGATGTTTACATCTTATGGTGAATTGAGTCAAGAAAAAAAAAATAAGTAGATAAGGGCTTTTAGGAAACATAGAATATTCTTTCTCCTAAAAACAAGGGTGTCTGGTTTAAACCATTTCTTCTTTTCCCACTCTGCCCTGAGTCTCACTCGGGTCATGCTCCATCTTGCAACTTGGGAGAAGTAGCCCCCTCTCTGAGTAGGAGGCAGGCGTGGGGCAGTCTACACAAGCCTTTCAGAGTTAGAGCTTGGTAAAGAGAAAAAGAAATGCTGTTCAGGGAACAAGAATTGCTGTAGTTTCTTCAAAAGCAGCAGTGAAAGTCCTGACCCTAGCACCATGGCCCAGTTATATCCTAGACCTTGGGTTTGACTCCTGTGAATTTTCCTCTTGAAGAATGGGCTTGGGTAGGAGTAAGTGGATGGGAGAGGACTTGGGCTGTTCCACATGCAGGGGTGCAGCCAATAGAGTTGCCATGCCCCACAAAAACATATTCATGTAGTCACTGCGAAACTGGACCAAGTTTGGACAGAAAGAAAAGAACTTTGTGACACCTCATTCAAGACCTTGAACATTAGGTTGTAGAAGCTACTAAACAATGAGGAATATAAGAGCAGTGACAACGCATTGTTCATCATTGTGTTCTGAACACAGTGCATGACACCAAGTAGGTTCTCAGGAAACAGTTGTTAAATAAAAAAAAAAAATCTGGTGGGAAAGATTAAATAATGGGACTATAGCAAGGTGTCAGATAGCATCAGCTATACAAGTCTGTGTTGTCTTTCTAGAGAGACTGTGACTTACAAAATTATCCTTTTAACTTCCCACCCTTTCAACTTGTCACCTTTTAACCTTTTCACTCAGAATCCTAAAGGATGTTCTTGAACAAAACATAAAAATCTGCTTTATTTCTTAGTAATCTTTTCTCCCAAAAAAGGAAATTTTTCCTTCAGTTACTTTCTGTAGCATCTTTCCTTGAACTGTGCTGTAGTTCACAATTCCATAGTCTCAACTTGTGTCTTCAGAATGCATCAAACTTACATAACTCTTGTCACAGTTGTCAGTTTCTCTGACCTGCTAAAATTTCAGTAGCACCTGTTTGGCTGTGGAATAGGCAAGGATGGCTGTGGACTCTGGCAATCCCATTAGAGTTATCCAGCACCCCAGCATCGAGGGAGGTGGTGGGCTCCATCAATCCAGGTACCATGAGCTTGGCTGTGGCGCTGATTTCTCTAAAGCTCATAATCTTCCACGGTCAGACTTAGCAAGTGGAGCTCTTCCTTCCAGAAGCAAAAACAGATTCCCTGGACCACATTACAAGAAAAAATTTTACGACCAAGTGAAGTCATGTATTTCTGAATGTCAGCTAAAGCCTCATTTAGAGCCGTTGGCTCATGCCTAATTTTCCCAAGAAACTGGCAATTTAATTTTTTTTGCTGTTGTTCAGGTTGACCCACCACATTTAAGCCATTCTAGAGGGGCCTTTCACCTGTCCCCTCTTAAATATAGATAGATATTTTTGAATATTCTCTTCCAGGTATTTTTTGACAGGTTATACATATGCTAATAGAAAATAGGCTTATTATTTGAAGCACAGAGCTGCTTGTCACCGAAGCTTCATTAACACCGTTATCACCGTCTGACATTTATCTTATAATTTTCTAGAGCTGACTGTTGTGTCTCCATGGAAACCCAAATTGCAATTGAAACAAGTAGGATAATAAAGGCATCCACCGAGATTGACAGCATGCAAAGCCCAGTTACATTTGTTGATAGTTCCTTCAGTAGCTACAGCTAGAGACAGAGAACATGCGCTTTGTGTGTGTAGGAGTAACTCTCTTGTGTCACAGGTCGTACCTGACTCTGCTTATGTGGCAAGTTTACCCTAACACCCTTGGTTCTGCTGTTTCTAATGGAGATGCTAATTTTCCCTGGAATCATCTCATCTAAAGGCATTATGAATATTGGATGTACAATTAACCGTGATCTTATTTGGATCCAAGAAGAAAAATTCTTCCTGGGTGATTTTGACACTGTGAAATGTTGATCAGTCCCTAAACTGGCATCTTGTGGTACCTGAATGGATTTCTTTTTGGGTAGGGGGAGCATCCGCAGAATTGTACAGTTTTTTCCCCTTGGTATCGAGGAACCTGTGCTCTTTCAAGTTGATGACTTCACAGCAATTTGGTTGCTGCCTCAAAGCAAAGAGTCATGAAACTGGAGTGGGTCCAGAATGAATTAATCTGAAATTAATTTGATTCTGAAAGACTCCATCTGGCTGTGTTTGGGAAAGGCAGTTAGACAGATATATAAACACATGATCATCTGTATTCATTGTGCCAGATGTAGTGTCAAAAAATGAAGAAATGGCTTTAAAAAAATCAACTATGGGGAGTTTTGATGTAATGATATTCAGCTTCTTAGTATAACAGCCATTATAATTTAGCACATAATTCTACTTTTATTTGTTTAGGGGGTTATATCTGATGGTGTGTGTTTTAAGAAATAAGCAAATTAAATATCAAAGCCTATTTTAATTGGTGATTTAAGATGCTAAATGGAATTTATGACTTGCTGAGAGAGAGAAGAAGCAAAGAGACAGGACCTATAGATTTCCAAATCAAAATGTAGTATTTGGTACTGATTTCATCTTAAGATACAATTTAGGGATTTAAAAACTAGCGAAGTAGAATGTCATTTGGCCTTTGCCTTTTGAGATGTGGTTTTGTAGCATGACAGACCAGCATATTTGCATGGAAAGGAAACATGCAGGATGAGGTGGCCTGCAGAGAACTCTGGAAGTCCTCTTGCAAATTGTTTTGAGATTGTCAGAGAGGCGCACGTTTGAACTGCTGTCGAGGAATTCAGTGCAGTCACTGTAGTGCATCTGATTGCCTTTTGTTGTGTCCAGACAGGAAAATTGTAGGAAATGTACACTTGTCCCTTTAATGATATCACTGTCATCTCTTTGGGGCATTTTATATCCAACTTTTAAACCTCATCAATCATCTGTTGTGATGCGCTGAAGAGAAAGAACTAAAGTTTACTTCTGGATTCATGATACATTACTGACTGAAAAAACAAACTCCCAAAAGGGAACAACTCATTCATTGCTCCCATGTACTCCACCCATCGCCCTTATTTCTCCCGGACAAGATGACAAAAACAATCACAGGTAGGGAAAAACCCAGCAGGATACTTAGTCAGCATTAACCCAAACAAAGCCGAAGAGTTTAGGCAGAGTCAGTTGTTGCATTGAATGACAGCAAATTAGATGGTACACAAATCTCGACATTTGATACGCCACTGTGTGAAAACCAGAGTAACATCTCAGCTCATCCCTGAGGAATGAGCCAGTCTGATGAGCTAAGTTTGCAGTACAGTTGAAAGCTTCTCCTTTAAGGCACCATTTCTCTTTGTTGTCTCATTTTGAAGGAATGCTTCTTACAACAAGTTATATATTTCCCGGCCTCCTTAAGCAGAATTTATTGAGCTTAATGTGACCCCTTGGATGAGACAAGCTTGTGATTATACAAATGAATAATTGCGCTGTGCTGCCGTCCTTGGGAATGGCTAGGGAACACATCTGAGCCCCTGCTGCGAGTGGGCTTTTCACCACGAGGCTGCTTCAGACCCTGGTGTCTGCCCTCATCATGACATGGGCCTGCCTATTGCAGAGCCTCCCTTTTGTTTGCTCCTCGTCTTCTCCTGCAGGTTTGAAATGCAGGTGATCAGGCTGTGGAAAACCAACATGAGAGATCTTGGAGGAGTGGGTTGAAGAGTTCTCCAGAGACCTCAAAGGGCATGAGCATCCGGATGGGAAGTTTGTGACATACGTTTCTGTCTGCTCTAAGATCATTTTTTTCTTTATGCTGACTATTCACAAATATTGGAGTTTGAAGGCATTTTTGGGAAAAAGAAAAATACACTTGAATGTAATAAATACATATCCCTCTTCACAAGTGGATTCTGTTTTCTCTCTAAACAACTACCGTCATTAATATGACATAATTAGCTCCCATGGACTGTCAACTTTTGATTTTCCAGATCAGTGGAAGGAGACAGTGGCGTCCTTAATCTCAAGTGCGTTCACATCCAACCTCACACTGCTGGCTGCCTTCCTTAGCCTGGCGTTTCATTTCAGTTGTATTCCTTGATTACACATCATTTACGACTGAGAAAGGTAGCCCAAAAGCAGGTTGAGGAGAGACCAGCCTGAGATTAAATTCTGCCATTGATAGATGATAAAATGAATAATGAATGGACAGATAATCAGCATTTAACAGAAAAGTAGGTGGAGTTCTGAATGCCGGGCAAGCACAAAGGTCAGTGACGCCTTTGTCCTTTAGTCCAAATTAGGAAAGCCCACCAACCAGTTTTATATTAATAATAATGTAATGAGAACAAGAGGATAGCCAGAATCAGGACAGTGGCTGTTCAGGGACAAGTGGACCCAGCGGGCATTTGGAGAAAAATAGGCATGACTCAGTAACTGACTAGTAATAGGTGTGTTGACTCTCGGATTTAATAGGACGGCACTGGACGGGATAACATGGCTCTTAATAGTGGCGACAGATCACATGACGTGTGATTTAATTTTACTGCTTTGAAGACTTCTCGCGTGCCGTATTAAATCTATTCATTCAGTAAATGTGTTTTGAGGATGTGCTGAGACCATCCTCACCGTCCAGACGAGGCCTTCCCTGACCACCTTATTTAATATTGCAGCCCTCTTATTTAATACCCTGCAACGCCCTCCCCTGCATGCTTTATTTGTCTCTGTCAAAACGGTCTTTTTAATCGATAAGGCTTACTTATTTGCCTATTTCATGCCCACTCTAGAATATAACTCCGTGAAGACTGTTTTACCCCCACTTTAGTCATTGCGGTATCCCCAGCTCCTTGAATTTGTCAGACTCGCGTCATAAATATGATTAAGTGAATGAATGAGACATCCCTGTCTTCAGGATGTCACACTTCCACCATGCACTTGATGGGGCTTCCGTGAATCGCTGTTTCTGAGGTTCCGCGGTCAGAGAAGGGAAAGGCCAGAGCAAGCAGCCAGTCCGCATTACACGCATGTTCTGTGTGCAGCACTGTTTCTGGTCATGGATTGCTGGTTGGGAAGGGAATTTGAGCCAGTATGAAAGACAGGGAAGATGAGCCTAAAAGCTGATTGGAGGAAAAGAAGACCGGAAGAGATGAACTTTAGGTGTGCTGAATTTGAGGTGGTGCCAGAGTGTGCTGTGGGATTAGAGTTTAATGGTCAAAATGAGGGCAGTTATTTTCAAATACTTGAGAATGGGTGACCTCTCCACAGGATTCCCACAGCGTGTGAGAATGAAGGGTGGAAATGGAAGGTCCTTTGCGGAACAGGCTCCAGGGGGTGGCATTTCAAGAGCAGGTTGGGGGATGAGGCTGTGTCCCCTGTGCAAAGTCACCCATGCACATGACTGCCGTCGGCGCCAGGGTCTTTGCTGGTACTTCCGTGCCTCTCACACATGCATGGTTGTAGAGGAGCTGTGCTCTGGGGCCGCGTTTCCCACCTTCCCAGCTCCCTTCCTTGTTAGAGCCGCCTTTTTCTCCCCAGTTTTTTGTTTCGTTTCAATGCCATTGCCAACTAGGTGAAATGGTATAGCCTGTTGTCTTTTGACTTTGATATCCGCCCTCCCCCCACACACACACACACAAAAATTTCACTTAAACATTGCTCACAGGGATGCAGCATAGTTCAGAATGCCAAATGCCCAATCCCCTTGGCTTAATGAGTCACTTGTTTCTAACTAACTCCAGGCCTTTATTTATTGCTCTATTATAGGCCTTATACCACATTGGTTTTGGTTTTATGTTGTGTCCATGTCTGTCTCTTCTAATTGGCCATGAGCAGCAGAAGGACATAAATGACCTATTTTTCAGCTCTCTCACCTTCAAACCTACCACTGTGCCTGACATAAAGCAGATATTCAGTAACTGAGAATGAGAAGGAAAGAAAAGGACTCAGGGTAAACCTCAGTTTTGTTTAAGATTCTGCAAAGGGGAAGAACTGGCTTTCACCACCCAGGCTTCTGAAGTGTGTAGAGAGGGTTGTGAATCCGCACTGACCGTGTTCTCTTGCATAAATAAGTCCAGGCAAAGTATCTTCAGTGGTGAAAACAGAAGTTACCTGCCTTGAGAAGCACAGTCACCACAACCTAGTCTGCAGGGAATCAGATGTCGTGTGTCTTTCGTTTGCCCCCCTTGATGTGGGTCCCTTTAATCATTTGTTGTTGGACTGTGGAGGCAGTGGGGGACATTGTGTTAAAAATCATTCTTCATCTTGGGAAGCGCAGGCCCCTGTTGAGTTTCCCCCTATATTTGTCTTCATCTTATCATTTTACAAGGATTCTCTTTGTAGTTAACTGACGGTGAAACCAGTCTCCTGTCAATCATCCAAAGAGCCACTTTCAATTAGTTGCCCATAGCCAACAGGTGGCTTCAGCAGCATCCAGCCATTGGCAGGTAAGTCAGACTGGAAGGATACCCTAGACCTGCTGTAGAAGCAGGGGCTCCTGGAGGAATTTCCTGTCTGTAAAGTTAGGGGCAGTCACACTGAGCTCAGCCGCAGGAGAGAGGATTCATTGGTGTCGTCCCTAAAGCGCTTTGGGAATGGGAAGCCCTCAATAAATCTTCCTTGTGGTGATTGTTTCCCTGTTGCCATTTCTAAAAGTTCATCTAGAACACCTACCTCTCCCTGTGCAAACGCCTCCTGCTTGGCCCTGAAGTCCACTGAACTATTTCTGATAAATCACAGAAGGAAATGAGTTGCCTGGGTGAGGGCTGTCTTAAGCTGCTGCCTTGCTCCCTTCCCAGGGAGGGTTATTGTCTGTTCAGCCATCAGGTACCCCCTAGATGTCTCCAAATTTACTTCTTTGTGGGGGTTCTCCAGCTTTGTGCCTTTTACTAGCAGTCACATTGAAATAAGGTAATAAGGTTTCCCTTTTCCAAATGCCTGTGTTCTGTGATCTTTTCTGCAGGAATAGTTCTCTACGAATTTTGGATGCATTTTACCCTGGCAAGCATTTGAGACCCCCAACCGAACACAGTTCAGCAATACCTTTGGTAATCCAGCATAATGTCCCCAAGAACACAAATGTGTTATTTCTTAGTTGTTTGTGAATAACAATGATGTCCTGTACATTCTTAAGAAACTATTTTTTTAATTTTGTCAAAGTGCAGGATTGATCATAAGGTAATACGTGTGTATGTACATATAGGAAACCTGAACCTTTTCTTCAGAGGAGCTCAAGCTATTTAATGACAATTTGACCATTTAGAGAAGGGCTTTGACTTTGTAATGTTTAGGGTATTTGCTCTGGTCAATTTTCCATGTGGATTCACTAGCTGATGTGTGGCCATCTCAGAGATGGTTTGGGGCCTCATTCCATAATTTATGTGGCAGTGACTCAAAAGGTTTAGTACACATGATAAATGGTAACAATACCTTCCACCTAAATAGGGGAGTGTCATTATTTTCACATATTTTTGGTGGCGTAACTGATAACCAAAACATTTTGTTAAATTTACCCAAAGTTTTCAGCAGCCCTGGATGCCACTACAGTTAAGACATAGCTGTGTCAGAAAGGTGGCAAACTCTGCCCTGCCGAAAGGCAGTCATGGAAGACAGACGCGTTTTTCATGATGACTGTGAAGCAGTGCATTTTAAAAGGGAGTTGCAATTCCCAGAGCTCTGGGTTGGATGACCACTGACTCCTCTTCCTAAATCGAAAGGATGCGCTAAGTTGAGCATGGACAGGGCGCCTCCTGAGGGTAGGGCCTGAGTTTCTGATGTGTTCTCCAGCATGCAGTGTGGGAAGGAGCTGATGCTGAGACCTTAGTTGCCCCACTGCCAGTCTGTTGGGAAGAGATTTCTCTTCTTAAATAATGGCAACACCAAAATGAACAATGTAGAGATTGTTAATATTAATGAATTTCATGTCTGTCCTGTTACCCGCCGGAGGCACCAGGCCCATCGCCAGGTTCTTTCTGCTTTTGCCTTAAGCAGCTGAGTCTTGGACAGTTTCCTGTAATAACCAAACAAAGCCTGTTTCTTCGTGTGCTATTACTTAAGTACAAGTGATATTTAAAAATGATTCCTGAGCCCTTTGAAAGAGTGGCTTGTTAGCTACAGAAATGATGGGACTGAAGTTAGGACATTAAGAAGAGCATTGGCATACCTGGCAAGAGATGGGGCTCTCGCAGCACCCCAATTAACCGGCCACTCAGCGGCCTGTCGGAGCCTCCAGGCTACTCTCCATAGTGTCAGTGACACCTTGTCAGCTCTCCAGCCTGCAGCCTGTGTCACCTGTGAGCCAGAGGGACTGAATTGGACACAGGCAAGGAATCACAACAAGATTTCAGGCAGCTGGTTATATTATCTAAATTAGCTTTTCCATGAATCTCTGGGTCCAGACCATAGCCATAGGATTATAGAAATTAAGAGCCAGATGGGAACTATCCTCTTGCTTTGTTTTACAAGTGAGGAAACTGAGGCGCAGAGTGGTCACATCATTAGCCTCAGATCCTAGAGTTAAGTGGTTGCTGAGCCAGGATGAGAACTCAGGCCTCCTGGCCCACTGTTCACTGACCTGCTGTTGAGGGCCTCAAGCACTGATGGGGCTTTCCTGGCCCCATATTCTTGTGTTTCCAAAACAAACCTCCCATGCAATGATGTTTAGATAAATCTCAACTCTAATCAGTAAAAAACAAGCAAAGGACAAGTATATTTGCATCTATAGCTATTTAGGTAAACTGAAGTTAAATAAAAATTCAATTCCTTAGTTGCATTAGCCACATGTATCTAGTGGCCACCATATTGGACTGTGCAAATACAGAACATTTCCTTCATGGCACCGGGTTGGGTAGCACTGACGTGGATTATCCCAAGGATCAAAAAAAAAAAAAAAAAAAGAGTATTGGAGTAATAAGATTATTAATAACTACCAGGCAGATTTTCTATCTTTACGCACAATTTTTCTAAGACAAGGCTTTTTTGTGTGTGCTTTTTTATTTAGTTTGCATTCTGAAGATGACATTTTATGTCTTTTAGCATTCGTATAATAATTTATAGCCATTTGGCAATTCTTATAGCCATTTTGTAAGTTTGTTCTTCTTTTTATATAAATGAAGGAAATACAACACAGAAAGTTGCCCACAGAACAAGATAAAAGAATAGAAATTTCCATTCTTTTGTTTGCATTCTCCCAAAGGAAGCCTGCAAATCACTGGGCCTTATAAAAGCTTGTTGTCCTAAAACTAGTAAAAATAATATGTTGAATCAATTATTATAATAGTTTACTGATTAGAGGGACCTCAGAAGATTTTGCATATACTCTGTTGATCTAGTTATTTTTCCTCTAAAATAGGGAAGTAGGTCAGTGCCTGGGTTAAAACTAAAAAGTAAGCACTCATCGTTTTTCCGAACAAGATTTCATTTTCATCTTGTCTCTGACACTGAGAATACTATTGCCCACTGGCGTAGTGCTTGCAGACTTGCGGTCTTATTCCATATGGCATCTGTCTTAGAGGAGCCTTCTAGCTGGCTCCTTGCCAAGGGTACTAGCAGAATTGGCACTCAGGATCTCATTGCAGTTTGCAGGCAAGGTGCCAGCAGAGATGTGTGCGCATGTGTCTGGGGCCTGCGAGTGGTCACCGAGTTGGGAAATGTCCACCTGGAGAAACCCAACTCATGGAACGTGAAGCAGAGGCAGTTGACCTTCACCTCTCACTGCATTCACATTCTCTAGGCACCTTTTGTGTGACATTGGAAAAGTCAATGTATCTCTGACTCTCATTGGGTTCATCTCCAAAACAGATAATGATTCCAGCGGGAGCTGTTGAAGAGTATTGTATATCAAGTACTTGGCAAAGGTTTCTGGCAAAGAGTAGCTCCTCAATAAATATTATTTGAATTTGGATGTAAATTCTTGGACTGTAAGAGGCACTGTACTGGGTGTTGAGAATGGCTAGGGAGTGAAGAGAAGCAAGCTAGTCTGATTTTCTAAGCCCTAGATGAGGTTGTTGTAAATAGGAGATCTTCTCAGGGGTCTTGCTGAGATTTGGGGTGTCTATTCCTGTAATTACTTCTCTTTGAAGAGCACATTGGCTGTCCTTAGTTTCTAGCAGGTACCTCCAAAGGTTTAACTGTTGAACACATAATTTCTGGCTTGCTTAGAAGTGTCAGTGCTACAGCCCCATGAGGATGAAAGAATTCAGTGAGTCTCCGCTAAAAATGAGCATCAGCCAGGGAGAGAGTTGGGAGTCCAGAGCAGGATTCATTTGGGTGGATGAGAAGGGAGTAAACCAAGCTGCGGCAGTACTGTGGGGATTCAGGGCATGTGATTCGGCAGTGCCAGGAGAGTGGTCGGTGGGACAGGACCACCCATACCACCCATTTCAGCAGTGCCAGGAGAGAGGTTGGTGGGACCGGACCACCTATTGAGGCAGCGCCAGGAGAGTGGTCGATGGGACAGGACCACCCATTTTGGCAGCGCCAGGAGAGTGGTCAATGGGACAGGACCACCCATTTCGGCAGCGCCAGGAGAGAGGTTGGTGGGACAGGACCACCTATTTTGCTTTTGATCAGGAAGGTGGGGGGTGGTGATATTTCAACTTGTACAGCAAGTGGACATCATTGGATTTACTTAAGGAAGGGATTGTCCTGCCCTTAGAACTTGATGCAAATCTTTGGAAAAGTTACTTCCAAAAGGGCAGGTAGTTTGGCAAGGATGTAGATAGAAATGAGAGGTGCTCATGGGTGGCTCTGTAGGAATAGAGAAGAAGGGAATCTGTGGAGATGGAGACACACTATGTGACTGAGTAAATGTAGGTTTCAAAGTAGCCTAAACTGGGGTGGGGGGGGTGAAAAAAATGTAAAGTACCTATCACAATATTTGCTATATAAGTGATGACCAAAATACACATATTATTATTTAGGATAGGAATTGTGGTTGAGTCTATACTATAAAAATTTTGAATTGAAAAGTAGATTTTTGATGGTCACTCATTTCAGATGCTTCACAGATGCAAAGAAGGAATTAACAGTAGGAATAGCCGACACTGAGAGAGCCCTTATTTTGTGCCATGTCTTGTATTAAGCACATGAGTCTAAGAGATGGAGTCCGCTATACCCATTTTACAGATAAGAGTCTGAAGCCCAGAGTAGCACATTTAGGAAGAGGTGCTGCCAGAACTCAGAGCCCCTGTACCACACTGCCTCTAGATGAGAGGTCTCCAGGCAGCGGTGAAGCATGGCTCATGGGATGAAATACTAATGTACACCAGCCACATACAGGCCAGAGGCATGAGGCATTGGCCGGCTCCTCTACTTCCCTTACTTGATGCATCTTGGTGAGTTTATATTTTTCGAAAAAGAGTAAATGGCCTCTTATTTGCAGAAGCATTGAAGACTGCTTGCTCTAGAATTCTGACACTAGAACTAGTACAATGCCACTCCCTTCTCCATTGTGTTACATTATGTGCTCCGCAGATGAGGTGCGGCAGCCCCATTTTTTGAACTTCTGTTTTCTGTTAGCCGAGACCTGTGGCAATACCTTCCTCTTTTCAATCTAGCTGGTTGTCAACAGCAGTAACCACAAGTCTTTCCTGTCCCAGAAATAAGTCTTGCCACACTCTCAACCCCCGACAGGGTGTGAACATGACATGCTGTACTGCAAGGGGCTCCACTGCCTCCACCCCGCTACAGCCACAGACCCACAGGGTTCAAGTGTTGATTGAATTCTCAAAGAGCGACTTAAAAAGGATAGGTGCATAAGAACAAGATAAACAATCTGGCTCTAATATAAACAAGGATTACATTACACCAAAATTGTTGAGAGAAGATTTTGTACTCAGTATTTTATTCAGCAGAACATTTTTTATAACAATAAGGTTGATTAGAGCAAGCTCTGAAAATGCTTCAAGTTAGACAGTCTGATTGTTTATTTCAAGGATAAAAAAATAAAGTGGTAAAATAGGGGGATACGAAGAAGTAGAAATTGAAACCAGGACCTAGCGAAGAGTATTTGACATCATTTTCCTCTCTAGGTTGAATCTCATTCAGGATTTTTCCTTACCCCGTAGGGTTTTGGCTTTTTAACCATGAGTATCTTGTTTTTAGGGGCTTAGGGCCATCCTAGACCCACAGCAGATTTAAAGTGCTCTGATGGTGTATTTGTCTGGTGTTTCATTTTAACCAAGTAAGTAGCTCTCTGTAAGATCTTTGTCTACCTTCTTGGTAGTACCAGGAAGCTACAGGGAGATCACATCTGGCCCTTGCAGTTTAGTATTAGTTAGCATGTCCCCTTTCTGACCTCTCTGCTTTTTGGGGTGGGTCTGCTCATGGAGGAGGCTCTGTAGGGGCAGCTTCTGCCTGCTTTGTTTCGGCGCCTTCTATTTTCACAGGCTGAGAAGCTGGAGCAAGCGCGCAGTGCTGCAAATGAGCTGCCGAGAGGCATTCAGCCTTGTCACTTGGCAGAGTAGCTGGGTTCAGGGTATATTTGGAGCGGGGGTAGGGGGCACAAAAAGGGTACATGGTTTTGCTTTACTGTTTATTCCTGCTCAAAGGAGGGTGGGGGCAAGTGAAAAAGACATGTCTTCATCATCGTATTACTTGATGGTGACTAGAAGTGCGGGCTGTACACAGCATTCTCTTCCAAATGGGGATTTTGGAAACAGCGTTGAGGAGGACTGATATGCAAAAGCTTATGGTTGTGCTCTCTGTCAGCCCCAAATATTTACTGAAGCTGGGAGAAGAAAAGGCAGACTTTCTTTTTTTCTCTCCCAAACGTGTGATTGTTTAGAACTCAAGTGCAACATCTGGAAGTCAGATATACAGAGAACAATTTATGGAGTGTGAGAGATTTGAAATATTCAGTGTCTTTTAGTGGGAACTCAACTTTCTGGGGCTGCTTTTTTTTTTTTTTTTAACCCAGCACAAAGCAGGCAATTCTGAGATCTCCTTTGCCTCTCTGAATTAAACCCTTTGTGCCTGGGTCCCATAAACAATGTGCTTTTTAAAGGGGAGCCCCCTCCCAGCTCCGGCCTTTTTCTCCAGCGTGGGCAGCCAATCAGCTGCGCAGAGCTGCATAGCTGGACCGCTTTCCATTCTGAGTAGCAACAACGTACTAATTTGATGCACACATGGATGCCTCGCGCACTCTGCAAATTCATCACCCGCATCTTGCATTAGTCATCTGACGGACTGCCAAGTGTTTCATTTTCTTTCCATGTGACTTTATTATTACCACCTCTCTCCTCTCTTCCAAAAACCTCCCAAAAAGGGCGGTGGGGCGGGGGGCGGGGCAGGGAGAGGGAGAGAAATCCAGCAGACATCTAGCTCTGCCTTTCTTTCCCAGCCACAGCCAGGGTAGGGCTGATAAGGCGCTGATGCGTTGATGGCAGCCTTGCAGAGCTAGACCTGCACTTAACTTGCAGCTGCCTCCCGAGCCTCCAAGATGTCCACGCCCTGGGTGACAGGCGGCAGGGCGCTGCCCCGTGCTCCCCCGGCTCTGCTCGACAGCAGCACGCAGTGAGAGCCTCGCCGCCGCCGAGGAGCAACTCATGGTGCCTCCGCTTTGTTTTAGTTCATCAAATTTCTACGACTCATTAGGCACTTTGCCACTGCTCTTCTTCCTCCTCCTTCCGCCTCCCCGCTCCCCCACCCCCACTATTTTTTCTTCCTGTCCCTCATCGTGCCGCCCTAACTCTGGCTCCCGGTTCCGTTTTTGACAGTAACGGCACAGCCAACAAGATGAACGGAGCTTTGGATCACTCAGACCAACCAGACCCAGATGCCATTAAGATGTTTGTCGGACAGATCCCCCGGTCATGGTCGGAAAAGGAGCTGAAAGAACTTTTTGAGCCTTACGGAGCCGTCTACCAGATCAACGTCCTCCGGGACCGGAGTCAGAACCCTCCGCAGAGTAAAGGTACAGAGCGCGGGGCGGGGGTCGCCAGGCGTCCAGGTGGGCGTCGCGGGGCACTGGGGCTGTCCGAGCCCCCAGCCTGCAGGAGGAAGGGCGGGTAGGCAGGAGGGCTGGAAGCAGCCGGTGCTGGCGGCCCCTGTGCTCCAGGGGCTGCTCCCGACTCCTCCCCGCACCCCCGCCCGCCTGCCCGCCGGGACAGGTTGGAGGCGGGAGAGAGGGACCGAGGCAGGGCGGGAGCGCAGAGGCTCGGTCCAGGCGCGTGATCGCTCCCGGGAGGTCACTTTCTAGGCAGCCCAGCCTGTGCTTGGGCGGGGTGGTTGCTTCTCCGAGGAATCGCGTTTCCCAGCCTTGTATTTCAGGACCTAACTCTTCCCACCCCTACGTTCCTAGGCTTGCCCATGTAATTACAATTGCATTTCACTTTTCCATAGCCTGTGGGGACCTCTAGGTAGCTTATAAACAGTTGACGTGATGCCACTGGTGCGAGGGAGAAAAGGCTCCCCTGAAGAAGGGACACCCATTCCTGGGGGTCAGGTGGGGACCGTGAGGTGAATCTGCCTTTTGGAGCTGGGAGCAGCACCCTAGTGGCCTGACATAGTTAGGACACCTTCACAAATGCTTGAGGGTTACGCCCTTATCAGTGTGGAGATGAAGGTATAGGATCTGGTAGTTGTTACTGCCTCCATTTTAAGATGACGGTGATGGGGGGCAGTGGGTGCCATTAATGAGATAGAGACCCAGAAACCATTGTGAGGAGTGTGATGCTTCTATGCCCTGGAGTCTTACTTTGTAAGCTCTTTGCAGACTGAATTTAAAATATCTACTCTGCTGCTACCACTTGGTCTCTGTTGCTGTTTTAACGTTTTTGCTTTAGTAATTTTTTCTTCTTTCTCTGTTGTTGATCTCTCAGTCTCTCTACTGAGGAGTCCTCTCTGTTGTTCTGCGGGCCTCACAGTTTCTTTTGCTCTGTGCCTTGGTGTTTCTGTCTGGCATGTTATTTTATTTCTATATTGCTTCTCCTAAGACCTCTGAAAGCATCACTTGGCTTGTGTATACACTTCGGTTGGGCACACGAACATATTGGCACATACTTTTCTCTAACCCTTTTCCTTACTGGCAAGGTGAAATGATAGAACTAGGAAATCTTTAAGACTGACATTCTGTGACTCCGAGAAATTTTGGGCTGTTCCTCTTGTTCCCTGTTGTTGCCAGGGTCTGGCAGGGCTTTGGAAGCCTCTTAAGGAACTGAAGAGCCCCTGGCCAGTACTCGTTTTAGAAAGGTGGACATGCGTGTCTTCGGAGTGTGTTCATAACACTCTAGTTTTCCAAACGTAGTAGCAAGGTTGTTTCAAAAAGCACATAGAATGTTGTCACCACAAACTTGATTGCCTCATTATTTGAGACGTAGAAAGATCAGATAACTGAGAATCTGTAGATTTTTAAACTTCACAAATGAGCGCAATATTAAATACCTTTATTGGACATATTCTGATACTGGTTACCTACATGTTTTCCAAATGGAGAAGACTAGAGTTTGTTTTAATACTTCCATGGTATGCTATTGAGGAAAGACAATAGGCTAGAGCTAAAAAAATTAATAAATTTAAAAATCACCAAATAAGGGCTCTCTCACCAGCCAGACTGTCACCTAGGGAAAACTAGACCAGAGGCAGTAAACTATGCTTTAGAGAAATAACCACAATTCATCCTTGACAAGGAAAATGCGACTCCAAATTTTGGTTTATCAGCATTTTTAAAAGTTACCTTTGACATAATGGTCAGAGCTCACTTACTGTTATGATGCCTGGTTCCGGGACTTTCAGCCATGGAATACATGTATCTTACCTTGGCCAAAAAGTCCTTTTTCCCAGTCAGGTAAGTACCTATGTGTGGCCTAGTTATTCTCCCATTGTCTCTCTCTTGCCCAGATGTTCCTATGAGCAGCATTTTTTACCAGCCTATATTTGATACTATACATTTTGTTAACTTCTGTTCACTGTGCCTGATTACTAATTTGGCGAAAATAGTTTGCAGAAGCCCGTGGGGCTGCAGAAGAAGGGAGGCCTGATGAGGGAAGTTTTTTTGAGCACGTGCTATGTATCTCAGACCCTGTGTCAGGAGCTTTACATGTGTCCTCATTTTGTCCTTACCAAAATCCAGAAGGTAGGTGGTGGTAGTCACATTTTACAGATGAGGAAACTGAGGCTTATAAGAAGTTAAGAAACATAGCCCCGTTTGCCCAGCTGTTAAGTGACAGAGTGGAGATTCGGACATGGTCCATCTGTCTTCATGGACTACACCATTTTGCGTCTTCATGAGATGAGATGGCAGAGTAGCCCTGGTGTGCTGTGTTTCAGGGCCTGGGTCAGGGGCAGTCTCCTTTACTTAAGTGTTCCCCAAGTGAAAGGAAGAAATTTCATTCTTGAAGAATGAGTTGATTTCATTTCTGTCTTTGTGTTTAGTTTTTATACTCAGGTGTTTAGATTGTACATCATTCCCACCCCATGATATCATGGGGTAGGAGTTAGAGATGAAATCATTCAAATCTTACCTTTGGAAATACAGGTCAATTCCCATTACTGTGAACTCCAAGTCTCACATCAAATATTCCTTAAAGTATGTGGGCTGTCAGCCAAAGCTTGAAAGAGCTTTTGTTATACAGACATCTCTGTTGTGAAGGTATTTGTTGTGATGGGATTTGAGCTGTATAATGACATTGCTCTCAGAGGATTACAGCCCTTAGCCGCTTACCTAGAGAGAGCAACAGCCCCCACTTTATTCATGTTGATACCTATGCATGCCATTATTATTTTGCCTGTTTACATGTAAAATAAGACCTCACATTTACTTTGATTCAGACTTTGTCGGCAGAGTACAATTATCATGTTTTCACAGGGCTGATATCAGAGCCTCAGAAACTAGAATTACTGGAGGTGGTTTGGGTTATGTGAGTGAGGCTTTTGGAGAGGCCTTGATTCATTGCCTTACCCGTGTTGATGGTCCCAGGCAAAGAGACAGTCAGGCTGTTACCTAATAATCCTGGTGAATTAGATTTTCCCCCTCACTTTCCATTTCATCTTCTGTTTAGTCGTGAGACACAAAGACTTGGTCATACTTGTGAAATCATCCTTTCAGGGTTCGAGCCTGAGATACCTATATTCTCACTGTAGGGGCATGTATTGACCAAGCAGGCTGAGTAACTCTGGGGACTCTGGCTCAGTAAACTCTCTCCCACATGAGGACTTTGGAAAAGTGTGTTTTATTCAGGGTTCATCTGTTTGGTCTGTAGATGGTGAGCAATACCACAGAGAGTTAAGAACATGGCTTCTGAAATTGGAGAACCCTAAATTTAATTTCTGGCTCTACTGCTTCTTTGCTACGGGCCTTGGGCATGTTACTTAATCACATCTTAAAGTGGAGGCAGTCCTTGTAGTGTTGCTGTGTGATGAGGTGATGTGCTCTCCACAGAGCTAGGATACAGTAGGAGCTGGTTATGGCAGTCATGATGATCATAGTTGTTGTTATTATCTCCATCAATGTCTCCAAGAACGTAAACTCTAAAAGGGACAAGAAGGCAGGTCCACAGGTAACTCTCATACAAAAGAACATGAGCTAAGAGTAAATGAGTAAGAAAGAGATGGGCTTACTGGAACCATGGAAGTTGAGCGAGGAAATGAATAAGTCGCAGCTTATGGGAGATGAAAAAGATGGCATCTTTACCAAATCTTGAAAACAGTCTTAGGATTTCAGTAAATAATGATGGTGAACATTACAAATGGATGGACTGGCCTGCTTCAGGCATGCAGGTGCGGAAGTGCAGGGCAATTTCTGGGAACTGTGAATTCTCCCACAGTTCAGAGGAAATGGGAAATACGTGACATGAAGTAGAGAAGGGAAGGCCACAAAGCCTAGAGCTATAGGCTAGAGCAGCTCTTAGCAAGCCTTCCTTCCCAGGCTGAAGGATTTAAAATTCCTTTGTTAGACTCTCGAGACTCTAGGAATATTTTAGCAACAAGAGGCTCAGAGGCTGATGCAGTGTGTTGACGTGTGTTGAGGTCAGGATGTCGTCTGTCATGGGAATGGAAGGGGAGGCTGAGGGACAGACGGACAGTGGAAGGAAGAGGACTTGATAACTAAATTGGGCTCAGTGAAGACCAGGAGGCTTTGGCTTAACTGGGAGGATTGTGAGCACAGTCAGCAGTGGTGGGAATGGAGGAGAAGAGCATTAAGTTCAGTTTTGATTGAGTTGAGTCTGCAGTGTCACAGAAGAGTCAAGAAGGATGCAGGCCAAGAAAAACCATGGGATTTGGTGACTGGGAGGACCCAAGAGTATTTCAGAAGAAGGATAGAGGTTGTGGGGAAAGGAAATGCATGGATGTATACATGGTGCTGAGTGTAGATGTGCCTTTCTAGTAGTCTGGCATGAAGGGAGAGGAAGCTTAGACATGCAGTTTGTTTGTTCAGCAAATGATAAGTTGTACAGCAAAGGAGATTGTCAAAGTGTAAGGTAGAGATGACTCTGCCTCAGGTCTGTGAAAGAGTGGAAAGATACTTCATTTGAGACAGAGGGGCATTCAGGAAGGAGTAACAACACAAAGTTTCAGAAATAGGAGACACTTCGTACAAGCGCCTGCCCTCAGACTTCTCAGTAAATAGGAAATTTCTGAAGTCCCAATGAATTGAAGACTTAAAAGGAATGGAAAAGGTTTGAAATGACTGCTTTGGGAAATTGAATGGAAAGAGTGGTAAAACTGTTGAAGAGCAGGGAGAGGCCGGTCACACTTAGATCATGTCCATCTGGAGTGGGCCCTGATGGTTGTGGACTGTTTATCCCTGAGTGAGGAAAGATACAGAGTCATAGAGAACCCAGAGTTGGAGATGTTCAAGAAGGCATCGTAGAAGGCCAGGAAGGGTAGCAGATATGCTAGGAAGTTCTCTCGGAGGTCTGAAGTAAGGAAGCCGGCAATGCTGAAAGACAGCTCCTGGTCCAGGAGGTGGAGGAGGAGGAGTTGAAGGGTTGGCAGTTGATGTTCAATGGGAGAAGTTGGCAGATATGGAAAGTGTGTTCAAGCGAGACCATACTTGGAACCTAGAATCAGTAGATAAATTATGTGCTTTGGATCATCGCTCTCGTAATGTGTTAGTTAATCAAAGTTACAATCCCAAATCATAGCACTCTGAGAAAGCGTGTTCTATAATGAACACTTTACATTTTTCTAAACTTAAATGGTTAGGTACTGTCATTCTGATTTTATGGAAGTGAAAACCGAGTGATAGATTAAAATCACTTGGCATTTGAGATTAGAAGGTAGGAACAGCACCTCAGTCCTAACCAAATGTCTTGTTGATCACATTTTACTGGTCTCTTTTGGCAACTTCTCAGCTCAAAGAGAAATAGAAAAGGGAAGTGGCTTTTGTTGACTATCACTACGTACCAAAGGAAAAAACTTCCTTTTTTCTTGCAGTATGTTGGGAGGTCATGGCATAACTGCTGTGCAACTGCATCGCAACAGTACTGCAAGCCAGAGCTTTCTGGATGGATCAGAAATTGTATTCATGGCTTCTTTGGGAAGAGTTATTACCTTAAGTTTCACAAGAGCAGCTTTTGTGTGGGTTAGATGCTCTTGCTGTTTCAGCCTCGTCTTGGTCAGGCTGCAGTGAGGGTTACACTGGGGCTGGCCCGACTGATCTTCGAATAGGATGATGAGTTGTTTCTTTCCATCTTAAAGGCTTTACTTCAGCCTTCAGGAAGTCGTTAGTAAAATCTTAGTTTGTCTCAATCTCTCTCTAGTTCAGTACAATGGAAAAGTTTCTTGAGAATCAGACCAGACTGCTGGGGAATGAACAGGAAGAAGGAAACAGGAACAGAAGCATAAAGACACCAAAGACTAACTTTACTTATTTCAGAATTGGCCCGAAGGTAGCCCTAAATCCAGAAGTTTCTTCTGTGCCATGGTAGAGTGAGGGTAGGCCCTGGGGAAGAGGACTTAGTACTGGTACTTATCATGACCAGCTCATGCAGAGAATGAGCCTTGCTTTCTTTATCCATGCAGTAGAAATAATACCCACTTCACAAGTTGCTTTACATATTCACTAAGGTAACAAATGTGTGAGTGCTGCTGGCATGGTCTAAAGCGGGTTGATCATCTTACAAACCATTTGTTTCTTCTTTAAAATGTTAAAGGTTTGTAAGGAATGCCTTTGGCCGCTTTATGGAGGACTGGAGTGGGGAGGGTCATTTTCATGTTTCATGCCTTTCCTTTCTTCCTAAAAACATGTCCGAAAGTTCACTTAAGTAATAGAAGTGGACCTGGGAGCCCGTTTATTTAAGCAATGTTATCTTGAAATCAGGAATTGAGAAAGAATTCAAACTGCAGGAAGATGAACCTACACTACATTTTAACGCATGCAAGTAGGGAATGGGATTTCTGTCCTACATTTCTTGAAAAGCAGGGTTGCTGCCCTAGATTTTCTGGGACAGCCCCAGTTTTGGTGCTGCCTCAGTGGCCCACAGGAAGGGCATCTCATCCTGAATTAATGTTATGTTAACAGAAGGCTCTGTGTTACTTACTGTGACATCCTTTCATTGTTGGCTGACCGACGACCTATGGGACAAACATAAAATGCAGTCAGAATTTTTAGATTCATGCAAGCGGAGGATCCTTGTCACATCTTTGTGAAAGGTGGCTTCACTGCCTACATCATACAGCTATATTAAAAGATATAACAATTCATTTTATGAAATGCAATTTTAAAATATTTTTACTGATACTGACTCTAGCCATTGTGCTGATTGAGATAAAGCCAGGGACAAAGGTTAAATAAGCCTCCTTTAAGTTACAGGAAGAAGGAATCCCTTTAAATGCCCCATACTCTGGTGATGCCGAGACTGTGCCCGTCGGTCACAGTGCTGAATTTCTGTGACTTCTATCAAAGGGCAGCGTCTGCCCTGGCAGATAATACCTATCATGGGTACGTTTTGATCCTTATATCTCTGGAGAGAAAAGGAGGAAGAAGGGGAAGGAGGGAGACAAAAAAGACCGACAGAGCGAGCTAATATCAAAGAAGAAAAGAAATTACTCCTGGCCGCTTTTAACCATTTTGTTTTCTTCTCTTCTGTCTGGGGCATTAAGACTTCAGCTAGTCCCCAGTCGTCTTTTCCCCAGTAGCTTTGCTTTTCTGGAATTAAAGTAGCAGAAGAATAAAGAAAACAGGCGCTGGATGAAAGGAGAACAGACTTCTTTGGTAGAAATGTGACATGAAAAGAAAACCCAGGGTTTCTAGGCTTCTGTTTCAATCCCTCCAGCACGTATTGCAGGTAGATTGAAAAAGTGAAGTCTAGGTGATCTCACAATTTGCATTTGCCACTGAGTGCATGTCTAGGCTGCCTGTCTAGGCTGCCTGTCTAGAAGCCTCACTTGCCTTTTTATTTGCAGCCAGCAAGAAAGAGATAGCTCCCCACTAGAGATGTCTTACCATCAGTCACCCAGTTGTACCACTCTGGGCTACCATACCGTGGGGGCATTAGGCAACCAGTCCTTTGGAGGGGACAAGTCCAGTTTCCTGGCCAGAAGGAGAGGTGTTGTCAACAGGGTGACGCTGTTAGTTACTCTGAAACTCACACACATTGCCTCAGAGCTGCCTTAGCGTGACCTACCTGCCTTTCCTTGCTTTCGCTCCAGAGACCCCAGATAATCAGGCATTCGGGTTGAAAGGTTTACTTGCTGCCTCCTTCACACTCTGCTTCTAATGAAAGTTTAAAATTAACCATAGTTAAGTTGTATTTTAGAAGTGTTCAGAATTCTAGCATTAATTAAAAAATCATGACATACCTTTTGAAGAAGTTTATTATCTTGAATAATTCCAACCATGGTGAAACGTGAAACACCACTAGCATAATTAGTACTGCTTTTTGTATCTTATGTTAGTAGATTCTTAAAAGACTGAATTTTCATCCTTGGACATACAGCCCCAGATTCTAACCTCATCATAATTTCACTGATTCTGAGGCCATCCATTCTCCTGCTTCATTATCTAATATTGGGTGGGCCAAACCTTTTACGAGAACAGCTCACAGGCATGCCAGAGCGTACAGCCATGAATAAGTACAGAATAATCATTATGATCTTCGAAACCATTGGAACCTAAGAAGGGCTGGAAAGATAATTGACCAAAAGGGAAAAAGTGGAAACTAGGCTAAAATAAGATGATTTAGCGACAGATTGACATAGGTTTATATATTCTGAAAATAGAAATGATGACGATAATGTGTTGGGTTCTGAGACAGTCGGGAGAATTGAAGATGTTCCGACCCATACTGAGAAATTCCGTGGGGAATCAGTCAGACATGAGGTTATCTGAGTGATGTATATTAGGTATAATACTAAGGAAATTTGTAGTGAACTAGAGCTCTTACCTATGTTAAAGAATCAAGGTCTTCAAATATGTCTTCAAATGTTTCTACATTTGCCTTGATGAGTCTTTGTTACAGAGAAAGGAATGCAGGAAAAAAAGGCATGTGTGAGCTGGTGGATTATGCTGTACAGGAATTTGTCAAAGCCTGAATCACATAGACAAACACACACACACAAATGGCAAGCAGAGAAGAAAGTTTTGCTGTAAATGGAAAAAGGGGCTAGTTAGCTACACTGGGGAATGCTGTAATGGTAAAGCCAATGGGTCAGACAGTGGAGATGGCCTTGGAAACACTGCAGGAATTGGTATTTTGGATCAGTATTCTTTTCATTCTCTATGTAAGTGACAGACATGTTTCTAATCCAGTATCCACATTCAGGTATTAATTCACATTGGAGAAACCCATAAGATACACTCTGGACAGTGATCAGTTTGAAGAATAAAGGAATATAATTTCTCTATTTCTACTGGAAGATCATAAATAGGAATTAGGGAGAAGAATTAAAGGGCTGAGAGAATATTTACTCACCACACTATTTAACTGACCCACCATCTGATCATTATAAAATATGTTGGGCTTTATTGCTTATGTAGGACAAATTCTGCAGCTTTACCCGCATGTGGGTCAAAACCTGTCTCTTTATAGTAGTCTTCCAGCTTTGTCTGCATTTACTAAGTTCATGAATTGCTGCTATTTTGTTGCCTTTTTAGCTTTTGGGGAAAAAATCCTTCCCAAACTACTATAGTTTAATGGGAACTGCATCCTAGTCAAGTAAAGAAATAACGCAAACATCAGGGAGGGGGAGGAGCAGAGGAAACAAGGCCTTACTCAGAATTGCTATCAATTTTAATACCTCCCTACTAAACATTCTGTGTAGGGGATGCCTTAGTAATCTGAATTTTTTAGAAAGGGGTGTTTTTTAGAGAGGGATATTTATGAAAGCTAGTATTAACATGTTTAAAGTCTGCCCCCCCGCCCCAAATGCTAAACGTTCCCAGTGATGCACCAGACACCAAGTGTTACGGAACAGGTAATCCACCACTTTTCACAGAAAGCTTTTTAGCTCCTAACTAGGCCACTGTACCTGATATTGGGAAACGTTTTTGAAGGATATCAAGGAGATGGAGGAGTTCCAAGGGAGAGCAGCATGAATCGCAAAGGTCCGGGAAGGTGAGCCCACATGGAAAGGTCTAGGAGGTTAACTTAAAAGACCTCAGAGCATTGAGTCATGAGATTGAAAAGGGGGAAAGGCTGTAGCAAGACATTAAAAGGAGGGATTGTGTTCTCAAAAAAAAGAGAGAATATGATTGAAGTTTTGAAGACGCTAAAGTGCAGAGTGAAGCTATATATAGATAAGTTCTTTCAATTAATGCTAAACCCTGGGATACTGCTGCTGATGTTTAAAATGTTGGAACAGCAGGCAACATGTAGAGTTTGAGCCAAACTTTTACAGAGACGAGGTGGTGAACTTAGAGCATGTTACAAAAGTTAAGGAGATGGTGGGGCAGCTCACCCAGCAGTCCCCAGGAGGGGGCCTCCGGTCAGCTCTCACATAGGCTTAATGCAGAGCCCTTTTGTAACAATGAGTTGAGGTTAGGGTACCCTTCAAAGCCCTGGGACCGTTTTAATGTTGAACTGAATATAGAACAGAAACGATGAAAAATGTGGTGCCGGCAGCTGACACAGTGTTTACCAAAGCACCAGTCATGTGGCAGTAGATGCTTCTGGGTGCCTACTGTGTGCAAGGCATCATTCTCAGTGCTGAGAACATAAAGATGAGCAAGCCATGTTCTTTGCCCCAGAAGGAGAGAAAGAATTGTCTGTAGTAAAGAGAGGAGAGCCACAATTACCTCGAAATGTAAAACCAGTTTCGGGTTAGCCATGTCCGTTGCACACATGCATGCATGTGTGTTCTTGTGCGCGTGTGTTTTCTGTTTAGCAGAGAATGCGCTAGAGAGCGTGATCATCCTGTGCTATTCATATAATAAAGATGAAGTGAGAGAACATTAGAGGAACCAAGGCCATGTGATGGTACACGTCTGACGTTTTTTCCTTTCGGTTACATGCCCGTATCTCCTCTTTCCCCTTTTTCCCCTTTGTCTTCATTTGGTTCCCCTCCCTATAGGGAGTTTAGGACAAGAAGAGGCTAAAGTTTCACTGATGAGCCTTTCTGAGGGTTCTCCATTAAATCCAAGGACAGAAAATGTACAGTCCTCTTATTAGCATAACGAAGCCATCAGCATTGCATCAAGCGGGTCCTCGTACCCTTTTCCTTGTAATGGTGTTTGGTGTAGGGTCCTGAGGAAGAGCTGCCAGCCCCTACCTGATGGATCAAAATCCCCTTGGCACCAAAGAGTGACTGATAGTGTTAACCATCACAGGAGACATGTATGTATGTGTGTGGAACTCTGACGTGTATTTTAAACTTTGCAATAGCCCAAAGTTAATTTGTTTCTTTGCCATTTGTTTTCGAATGGGTGTGGCATTGCTTATAAAATGTTGAATGTAAGTTGCCTAGGACAGCGCCTGGCATATGGTGGAAACTGAATAAAGGCTGCTAGGTAGTGTAGACTAGATGGACTAGAAAACAGTACAGATGCAGATGCTTTCAGATGTTCTCTCTGCCACAGAGAGACCTTTCTGTGTGCTTTGTTCAAAGTTGACAGTGTGAGTAAACTACCATCAACAAGGCGTTACTTTTGGGTAATTTTTTCAATGTTTATCCCAGTTCCTTCATCCGCTTTTACATAGCCTCTTGTACTGCAAGCTACACTCAGTTTTGAAGATGGTGGGTTAGCGTTAGAGTGGTGTTCTGTGGCCAGTGGAGGAGGAAGCTTGCTCACTTTAATGCAGAATGTCTAAGCATCCTGCGCTAACCATTGGCAGGAAGGTTATTTCAGTGAGACGCTGGTTCCTTCTCACCCCTGCACCCTTCCTGGAATCACCACTGGTTGCAGAAGCCTATATAGGGTGGCTCATTTGGACGAAGTATTGTTAAGGTGGTTATTAGAAGACTCGCAACTTAGAAAAGGAAGTAAACATGTTAATACTAGCTTTCATAAATCCCCCTCTCTAAAAAACACCCCTTTCTAAAAAATTCACATTACTAAGGCATCCCCTACACAGAATGTTTAGTAGGGAGGTATTAAAATTAATAGCAATTCTGAGTAAGTTCCTTCTCATGTAGTTAATGCAGCATGATGAAAGAAATAAAAGTCTCCTTATTTTTTTACTTTCTGTGTTGCTTCTTAAATATACTCCTTCAAGTCAGGTTAGCTTACCTTGGGTGTTTGTATTTTGTTGGCTTATGTTTGCATGTGTGAATTAAAAAAAAAAAAAAGAGAAAATTAGGTTATTAAAAGGAGGATATGAACCAAAATGTTGGCATGAATTAAGAAAAATCAGTGAAGAAATGTTGCTTAATTTGTACACTTCCCTGCAGTGCTGGAAATGGACTTTTCCTTTGCATTTCCATGAGTCAGGGAGAAAACAGACCAGCCTGGTTTCACGTTCCAGACAGCATGAAGTACCTCAACAGCAAAGAAGGAAATAGGGGCCTTAGTTTTTAAATCCTCTGTAAGATAGTCAAGGCTTCTCCAGTAGAAAGTTAGGTTTTGTAATAAGGGACCATTTTGTCCTTTCTGTTCAGGATTCAACAATTGCTTGTTGATTTGGGGTGAAGATGCCATGAACTCAGGAGCGGGTGAGGAGGGCCTTTCTCTGCCTCCCATTCCCAAAGCATTCTCCCTAACCCCATGGTGGAGGCTGCGGAGAGTGTTGTAGGCAGTTGCAGTGCCCGTCACTCTCTGGGTGAAGCCAGTATGTCCTGGTGGTGGCCTTAGAAGACAGCCCCTGTGAGGCTCAGTAAGCCGCAGCCTAGATTGGAACAGCGTGACTGCCTGGTAGGATAAAGGAGACGACATCTGAAAAGAGGGTTTCAGGTGTTTGCAAAGAGGTCAGATCCCTACACATGAAACGCTGCGGCCACAGCTGCAGCCATGCTACCTGCCACATGCCCTGGCCTGCGTCAGCGTTATGGAGTAGGCAACCTGGTTCGGCGCAAAGAGGAAATGCGCGTTCTGTGCCCAGTCCTCGCTCCCCTTTGCCAACCGGGCTGCTGAGTGTGATGCTCCCTTTGTGAAGTGGACATCTGTCTAATGGGAACTGGACGGTGACCACCAGTCCGTTTTACACAGGCCACCATACAGCTGCCAGGTGGCGCTGGCTCTTAGCTGTTCTGCAAGTCCAGCACAGGGTGTATTCAGCTCTAGAGGTGGCAAACACGGGGCCCTTCCACCAGGCCCACTCCCTGCAAAGGAAGTGCTTCCGAGAGCCAAGGCTTTGCTCTAATCTCTGTGAAGGAAGAAAAAGACTTGGGGAAAGGTAATGAATAAATTAAAGACACACTTTTGTAATCGTATATTTTAGGCTTTCCTCTCTACCTAATTGTGCTCTAATCTGTACTTAGGAGTATAGTTTTTTAAGTGGGACATGTCAGGCTTTTATGCCACAGATTAAACTCCAAGGCAAATAAATGTGTGACAGCTTAAGAGGCGAAAAGAAGAGTCTTCGTCAAATGGCAGAGTTTGATTGTTTAACCTAGACTAATCAGTCTTTGGAGGGCCTGCCACATGTCTTCCAGACGGCTAGAATGCTCAGGAGATAAGAGTGGGGCCTATCGCTCTGTGGCTTTCTCCCCCTGCATTAGCCGCAGAGCTGAGTGAGTCTATGAAAACCCATTGGTCGGGCTGCCCTAGCAACACAGAATGCTGTGCTGACACATACTCCATCACATGTTTGCGATGAAAATGCTGTATTTTTAGAACACTTCAAAGTCAGGAAACCGTTAAACCACACTGCATCCTCTCTTGCCCTCTGGCCACTTCCTCCACACCCCCAGGAACATTGCCCCCATTTCACAGAAAAGGAGCCTGAGACAAAGATTAAGTGATATTTTAAGCAAAGCTGATAATCCCAGGGAAAATTGCTGATCAAGTCTTGAAATCCAACACATCCTTCGGAGTAATTTTTAATGCTTTCGCTTCTTTTACCTAAGCCATGTGTGTTCCATATGACCTTAAATCTAAGCCCTAATATTGTAAATGGAGTTCAGAAGACAACTTAGTCTCCCATTTTCTTTCCTGGCATTCATTCAAATAAAAATAGGCACGTAATACTGTACTGTTAAAAAAAAAAAATCAAAGCTCCACGCACACTTTGAAAATCTTTTAGAATTTATGACGCTTATTTTCTTAAGTATCTTTATGCAAATAAAGATCAGAAGTCCTTTGAGTTTACATCGCTTGCTGAAGGACTGTATCTTGTGTGTCTCTGAAATTTGCGTGCCTAGCTCGGTGCCTGACATGGAATAGCCATTGAAAAGTAGCTGCAGATTGAACGAATGAAGTAAATGCTACCTCTCTCTGATCCACCACTAACTTACCCATTTTTACAGTTACTATTCTGTGGAGCAGAGACATGCTTGTATTCATTCTTAGGACATGTGTTGAGAACCCTACGTGCCAGGCAGTGTGCCGCATCCCAGGAATACAAAGATGACTACTGGGGCATGATGGAATGGAGTGAGGAACATGAGGGTATGTGTGTGCGTGTGCCTGTGTTGGGGAGAGAGCCTGTGACAGTCTTCTTTTCTTTCCCCCCTGAAGGCTCTGTGATCCTATAAAGGTTAAGAACAACTGCATTGTACAAACAGGGGGAAGGAGGGTCAGAGTTGTCCAGCTCGTATAGAGTGTTGCCAGGTGCATGCTGAAAATCAGGTCTTAAATTAGCAAAGCTTACGTGGTGTCAGGTAACAGTCACACTCAGCCCTAGTTCTCAAAATAGTCCTAAACCAAAAAATGTTCACTCGGACTCCTAGCCCCCTAGTCTTCTCTGTCAGCAGCCCCAAATATATAAGGCTGAGGTGTTTCTAATGTGAGGTTCTGTTAGCCTGTTGGTGCTCCTCAGTCACTGGGGGCCAAAGAGGAAAACATAATAAAGAGAGTGAAAGACTTTCTAAATTGTAAAACTCCATACCCGTCTGAGCCATGATGTCTGGTTCTGTGCGTTTCCTGGTTTCGGTGAATCTCCATGTCTTGCTTAGCTTTTTTCTACCCTTTGGCTACCAGATCAAATGCCACTTTCCCAGAAAGCGGCAACAAGAGTGGAAGGTGGTGAACCTAAAAGGCAGCATAGGGTGGTGGTCGAGAACAGGGCCTTGGAGACTGCGTGCCTCTCCGGATCCCTCCTCCACCACCGCTTCTGTGACCTAGACTAAGGGTTGACTTCCCCACGCCTCTGCTTCCTCATCTGCAGGATGAACAGGGCCGTTGAGCAGATTCAGTGAGGTCGTGGAGGCAGAGCAGTGACAACAGTGTCTGGACTCGGTAAAACCGACACCGTACTCAGTCTCCTCCTGATGAGGAAACCCAAGTCCGGAAACATGAAGGGGGCCCTTCCAGGCTGACGCTATCTCCCAGTGACAGCTCTGGGTATAGCCTGCCATCCGAGCAGATGAGCCTTTCAGTGACAGGAAGATCAGTTCTCGGTAGTATTGACAATAAGAATAATAACTAGTATTTCTCTGGAGTACTCGCCATGCGCTAGGTCCTGTACTAAGGGCTGACTATACATTATCTTGTTAAAATGTGTCCTCACAATAATCCTGTGAGATTATACTACTTATGGTGCCCATTTTACAGAGAAGAAAACTGAAACTTAGCAAAGTAACACATCTAAGTATGTGGCAGCATGGAATGAATGAATGAATGAGTTTATTTATTTATTTATTTAAAGACCAAGTCTTGCTTTGTTGCCCAGGCTGGAGTGCAATGACGCGATCTCGGCTCACTGCAAGTTCTGCCTCCCAGGTTCAAGCGATTCTCCTGCCTCAGCTTCCCTAATAACTGGGACTACAGGTGGCTGCCAGTATGCCCTGCTAATTTTTGTGTTTTTAGTAGAGGTGGGGTTTTGCCATGTTGGCCAGGCTGGTCTCAAACTCCTGACCTCAAGTGATCAGCCCGCCTTGGCCTCCCAAAGTGCTGGGATTACAGGGGTAAGCCAACATTCCTGGCCCAGACATGGAATTTAAACCTAAATATTTTGTTGGTAGCATCCCCACTTTTAACCATGACATTGTCCTTGTTCGGTTCCAGGGTTTCTGTAGCGTGGAGCTGGGCACATCTCTCTGCCTGCTGTGCTTGTCAAACTGACGTTACCTCTCTCATTTCGGAATGAATACTCCTCTCGACTGTCAGTTGTCATTGATGTCTCTGTATTCATACCAGTTAGCACAGTGTGTGGTAACCAATAGGTGCTTAATGTTTGTTCAAGTACACTGAATTATTCCTTCAACATTCCTTGGATTTCGTGCTCCCATGCCTGAGTCTTGCCATTTCCTCTACCTAGAGGTGTCATTTCTTCTTCCCAGTTCTGATGGTTTCTGTTGTGGCCTTTCAGCATCCAGTGCATATGCCATTGCATCCATAATGGCTCTTCCTCCTGGACACCCCAGCAGAGTCATGTCTCGCTCTGCTGAAATTCCTGTGACGCTGTATGCCCCTCTCACTGTGCACAGTACTTTGTGCCATTCTGCAGTTGCATACGCATTTGTCATCTCTAACTCTAAGTGTCTTGCCTTGGGGCTGTTTTAGTCCATTGGTATACATTATAGGACCTCATCGAACTTAGTACGGTGCCTTAAAACAGTGAAGAACATTTCCTGATGGAGAGAATGCAAAGCATTCAAGATAAAGGGACATTATTTTCCCACCAGCCTGTATCCTGCCTTGTTCTTCTTTCCTTTTCATGGCACGTTGACATGGAACACCCCGTTGCATTCCTGGTTTTGAATCAGCTGATGGGCACTCCATGGAGCATGAAAAAATATTGTTTCAGCTGAAGCAATGGAAGTAAGAGAATCATTTTAGGGTGTCACTGTAGTGTGAAAAGCTTTGACATTTAAAATAAAATAAGGAAGGAGAAAAACAGTTCACTCTGTCATTGGAGTCTCTTGCCAGCAAGGGCTCTGAGCCCTCTGAGCAGCGTGCTCACCTGAAACCCCGCCAGACTTACAGATGTTTCGTTTGGCTCCAGTGTGAAGAACCACACTGCAGTTCTCAGGAACAATTCCATTCTGGCAAGGACTGATGTAACCGGGGAGCGGGGCAGCAAACAGAAATGACTTCATAGGTCCTATCCCTCTCTACTTTCCTAGATCCCGTAGTGCACACTGCCCTTTTCCTTTGAGTTTTCATCCATCACTTTATTCACTTAGTGCCAAGACATACGACCCTTTTATGAGGCTATGAAAACTCCACTTAGCCAAGTGCATGTTTGGAACTCTAAGACAATGATATACTTTGCCCCTAGTTGTGATCCTAGAGCTTCCCTGAAGGTCATGTGTAGGTGAATGGAACTCTTCCAGACTTGGATTTTCTTCCTTTGAGGACTTGGATTATAACATGGAGGAAAATTTATTTTTGGGGATCAGAGAAGAATTTGAGTCAAGGATAACAAAGAGGTATGAAGAGAAAATGAGAGTGGAAGTTCCAAAGGCTAGTGTCTCTCACCTCTCCCTACCACCCCATGTTTTAAGCTGCCCCTTTTAATTAGACATTCTGCCAGCATACAGCTTGTCCAAAACCAAACACATTATCTGCTCTTTGGTTGGCCCTGTTGTGTTAATGGAACAGTCTTCCTTCTTGTCGCCCAATCTCAGAAGCTCGGCATTATTCCTGACTGCTGCCTTTCCTTTCCTTCACATCCAAATCCTGTGAACTTGAGTTTTTTAATGTTCCTACCGCCATTTGTGCATTCCTACTGTTGTCACCCTTGGTGCCACCTAGAATATCAAAGGGTCTTTTCAACAGCTCAATGGAGACATAATTGATATGCGGCAAACTTCACGTACTTAAAGTATAAAATTTGATACATCTTAACATATGTATACACCTGTGAAACCATCACAACAATCAAAATAACAAACACATCTCTCACCCCTGAAAGCTTCCTCATGCACCTTGGCAGTCCCTTCTGTCCTGGCTGCCCCATGCCTCAATTACTGACCTACTTTCTGTTGTATGTGGTTACCATTTCCTAGAATGTTACATAACTGCAGCCATACAGCATGTGCTTTCTTGGATCTGGCTTCCTTTGCTCAGCCTGATTCATCCCCGTCACTCATTGATTCCTTTTGATTGCTGAGTAACGTTTCATAGAATGGAGGTACCACAGCTCATCACCTCTCCTCTTGATGAGCCTTTGGGTTGTTGTCATTTGCTGAATATTTTAAACAAAAAGCTGCTGGGAACATCCATGTACAAGTATTTGTAAAGACAAGTGCTTTTGTCGCTCAGCTAGACACCTTAAGAGTGGAATGGCTGTATCATATAGTAGGTTTATATCGAACTTCTTAAGAAACCGCCTGTTTGCTAAAGGGATTGTACCATTTTACATTCCTACCAGCAATACCTGAGAGTTTCATTCCCTCCACATTCCCTCCAACACTTGGTGTAATCACTATTCCTAATTTTACCCCTTCTAATCTGTGTGTAGTGGTATGTCATTATGGTCTTAATTTTAATTTGCCTGATGGCTAACGATGCTGAGCATCTTTTGATATGTTTGATTCGTGTATATCTATCTTCAATTCAGATCTTTTGCTCATTTTTTACTTGGGTTATTGCCTTATTGTTGAGTTCTGAGAGTTCTGGATATGCTCTTTGATCAAAGTACTTCACTAGATACACGTTTTGCAAATATTTACTGCTAGTTTGTTTCTTGTTATCTCTTAATATTTTTTAAAAAGCAGTTTCTAATTTTGGTGAAGCCTTATTTATAAATTCCTTCTTTTACTGATTGTGCTTTGGGTTTTATATCAAAGAAAACCTAACCCAAGGTCATAAAGGTTTTTTCTATATTTTCTTCTAGAAGTGTTACAGGTTTAGGCTTTACATTTTAGTCTTTGATCTATTTTGAGTTAATTTTTATATTCAGCATGAATTATTTATTGAAGTTCATCTTTTTGCATGTGGATATTCAATTGTTCCAGCACTATTTGTCCTTTCTCCACTGATTGCTTTTGTATATGTGTCAAAAATCAGTTGTCTGTATATGTGTCAGTTTATTTAAAGACAGTCTGACCTGCTCCAGTGATCTTATTTGTCTGTCTTTGCATCAGTATTACATTGCATTAGTTACTGCAACTTTATCACGAGTCTTGAAGTCAGATACTGTTAGTCTTCCAACTTCGTTCCTCATTTTCAAAGTTGTTTTGGCTAGTCTAGATTCTTTGTATCTCCTCGTAAATTTTAGGATCATTTGGGCAGTTTTTACAATAAAGTCCTACTACAGTTTCTATAGGAAATGCATTGGATCTGTTCATCAATTGGGAGAAATTTGTCATCTTAGCAATATTGAGTCTTCAAAACCATGAAGTGGTATATTTCTCCACTTCTTTAGGTCTTCTTTGATTTCTCTCACAAATGTTTTGTGGTTTGCCATGAACAGGACCTTGCATATCCCTAGTCAGATTTATCCCTAGGTGTTTTATATTTTCCGTGGTCTTCTAACTAATTTTATTCTATTTGCTATTTCCAATCATTTGTTTCTAGCATATAGAAATATAATTGATTTTTGTGTATTGATTATGTATCCTACAACCTTGCTAAACTCATTCTAGTAGCTTTTTTAAAGAGTCTGTTGGATTTTCTACGTAAATGGTCGTGTCATTTGCACATAAAGACAGTTCTACTTCTTTTCCAATCTAAGTCTTGTCTTTTCTTGCCTGCTTGCACTGGCCAAAACGTCCACTATGGAGGTGAATAGAAATAGTGAGAGCAGACATTATTATCATGTTCTTGATATTAGAGGAAGACTTTTTCTTTACACTGAAAAGCATGATGTAATGTATAGGTTTTTCACAAATGCCCTTTATCAAGGACATTGTCTTGTCTTCCTGTTTTGCTGAGAATTATCATCAGGAATGGATATTAGATTTTTTTTAATGTTTTTTTCTGAGTCTGTTGAGATGATCATATCGGGTTTTTTGTCTGTTTGTAAATATGACAAATCACATTGTTTTTGTGTGTTTTTTTTAAGACAGGATCTTGCTCTGTTGCCCATGCTACAGTGAACTGACGCAGTCACAGCTCACTGCAGCCTCGAACTCCTGGGCTCAAGTGATCCTCTTGTCTTAGCCTCCCAAAGTGCTGGAATTACAGGTGCACGTCACCACACCCAGCTATATTGACTGATTTGGATATTGAGCCAACCTTGAATTGCTGGGATAAGTCTTACTTGGTCATGATGATCCCCCCGCTGCACCCACTGCCCCCAAGATGGAGTTTCACTCTTGTCACCCAGGCTAGAGTTCAATGGCACGATCTCGGCTCCCCGCAACCTCCGCCTCCTGGATTCAAGTGATTCTCCTGCCTCAGCCTCTAGAGTAGCTGGGATTACAGCCACGCGCCAACATGCTTGGCTAATTTTGTATTTTTAGTAGAGAGGGGGTTTCTCCATGTTGGTCAAGCTGGTCTCGAACTCCTGACCTCAGGTGATGCGCCTGCCTCAGCCTCCCAAAGTACTGGGATTACAAGCATGAGCCACCATGCCTGGCTGGTCATAATGATTTTATTGGATTCCATTTGCTCAAATTTTGTTTAGAATTTTTACATCTGTGTTCGGGAAGAATATTTTTCTGTAGTTTGTTTATAACTTCTTTGGCTGGTTTTGGTATAATGGCAATCCTGATCTCATAGAATGAATTGGGAAGTGTTCTCTCCTCTTCAGTTTCCTGGAAAATTGTGTATAAAGTTGTATTATTTCTTTAGTTGTTTGGTAGAATTCATCACATAAGTCACCCAGACTTCAAGTTAACTATGTAAGAAGGTTTTTAACTACAAATTGAATTTCTTTAGTACCTATAGGAATAATTAGGTTCTATATTTTTCTTTGAGTGCATTTTTCCTTTCAGATAATATGTCCATTTACCCTACGTGGTCAAGTTTATTGTCATAAAACTGTGTATAATCCCTTAATATCCTTCTAATGTCTTCAAAATCTACACATAAAGACAGTTCTACTTGTCATGTCTCCTGATACTCCTGGTACTGTTAATTTGTGCCTGCATTCTTTTTTCCCTTTGTCTTAAAGTTCCCAGGTTTATTTGTCTACTAAAGAACTAGCCTTTGGTTTTGTTGCTTTTTTTTTTTTTTTTTCTATTTCTTTGGCTTTCACTTTAATTGTTATTGCTTCCATTCTTTTGCTTATTTGGGGTCTAACTTGCTTTTATTTTTCTGACTTTTAAGATGAAAGCTGAGGTTACTGATTTGAAATCTTTTTTTCTCCAAATGAAAGTATATAATGGTATATAATTCCTCCTAAGTACCATTTTACCTACATCCACAAATTCTGATATGCTGTAGTTTCATTTTCATTCAGTTGAAAATACTTCCTAATTTCTCTTTTGATTTCTTCTTTGACCTGTGGGTTATTCAGAATGTGTCATTTAGTTTCTAAATACAGATTGCGCATCCCTAATCCAAAAATCCAAACTTTGAAATGCTCTAAAACCTGAAATTTTTTTCAGTACTGACATGATGTTCAAAGGAAATGTTCATTGGAGCATTTTGGATCAGGAAAGGGATGCTCAACCAGTAAGTATAATGCAAATATTCAAAAATCTGAAAGCAAAAATCCAATACATTTACGGGCCCAGGCATTTTGGATAAAGGATCTCAACCTGTATTTGAGAGGGGTATGGGAGTTTTTTCTGTTACTGATCTCTAATTAAATGTCCTTTTGGTCAAGAAATATACCTTGTATGGCTTAAGAACTCTTAAATTCATTGAGACTTGTTTGATGCCCCATAATATGACTTATCTTGGTAAACAGTCCATGTGCATCTCAAAAGAACAGGTATCCTGTTGTTCTTGGACTGAGTGTTCTACAAAAGTGAGTTTGATTGAGTTGTGTTCTGCAAATCTTCAGTATCTTTACTGATTTTCTGGATATTAATACTTGTTCTATCAGTTATTGAGAAAGGCTATTGAAATCTCGTGTATTTGTGTATTTCTCCTTTGAGTTCTATTTTTGCCTTATGTATTTTGAAGTTCTGTTTTTTTGATGAATAGATATTTAGAATTTTTGTGTTCTCTTTGTGAATTGACTCCTTGGTGGTTTTGAAATGACCTTTATTTCTGGGATTATCCTTTGATTTGAAATTATTATGATATTAGTATAGCCACTTCAGCTTTCTTTGACTCCTGTTAAATAATATATATTTTTACATTCTCTCTCTTCACGTGTATGTATCTGTCTATTTAAAGTGCATTTATTGTACACAGCAGGTAGTCGGATCATAATTTTTTTGAATCCACTCAGACAAGTTCTACCTTTTAATTGGAGTGTTTAGATAATTAACATATAATGTAATTGTTGATAAAGTTTGGTTTAGGTCTCTAATCTCACTAAGGTCGCCCCCCCCCCAACCTGTTCTTCCCTTTTGCCTCTTCTTATTACTTCAAATTACTTTTTCATTTTACCTTCTTTGTTGGCTTACTAGTTATAGCTCTTTTTTGTTGTTTTAGAGTATTTGTTACACGTCTTTATCATTCAAGTGATAGTATGCAACTTCATGTATAGCATGAGAATCTACTTCCATTTCTCCCTTCGCAGACTTTATGCTGTTGCTGTTTTTACATTTTGCTTTTACATGTTAAAATACATCCACAATACCTTGTTACAATTTTGTTTAATTGGCCAAATTTCTTTTATAGATATTTCCATCATAAGAAAACTATCTCGCCTGTTTATGCTCGTAGTTAATACTTCCGTGCTCCGTTCCTTTGTGTAGATCCATATTTCCTTCTGGCATCATTTTCCTTCTGCCTGAAGGACTTCTTTTAATATTTCTTGGGCAGCCAATCATCTGGTGGTAAATCCTTTCACCTTTTGTGTGTCTTTCACCTTTTGTGTTTTGCCCCTTTTTTGAAGTATGTATCTAGATCTAGATATATATATTTTTTGAGACTGAGTTTCGCTCTTGTTGCCCAGGTTGGAGTGCAGTGGTGCAATCTCAGCTCACCGCAACCTCCGCCTCCTGGGTTCAAGTGATTCTCCTGCCTCAGCCTCCCAAGTAGCTGGGATTACAGGCATGTGCCACCACACCTGGCTAATTTTGTATTTTTAGTAGAGATGGGGTTTCTCCATGTTAGTCAGGGTGGTATCGAACTCCCAACCTCAGGTGATCTGCCCACCTCGGCCTCCCAAAGTGGCGGGATTACAGGCGTGAGTCACCACGCCCAGACTGAAGTATATTTTTACTGGCTATAGATTTCTAGGTGGACAGGATTTTCCTTTTCTTTCAGTATGTTAAAGACATTGCTTCACTGTCTTCTCACTTGTATTGTTTCAGATGTCATCCTTCTCCTTCTGTTTTTTTTTCCTCAGTCTGCTTTTAACATTTTCTCTTTATGTGACTGGGTTTGAGTAATTTGATTATGATGTGCCTTGGTTTGGTTTTCTTTGTATTTCTTGTACTTGGAGTTCATTGAGATTTTTGGACATGTGAGCTTACAGTTTTCATCAAATTTGGAAAACTTTCATCCCTTTCTTTTGTCAGATATTTTTAATGTCTGCTTTCTCTCAACTCTCCTTGTAGACTCAGATTACTTGTATATTTGGCCATTTGAAGTTGCCTTACAGCTCACTAATGTGTTTTTTTCTTCCTTTTTTAAAGTCTCTGTTTCTCTATTCCATTTTGAAACACAGTTCACTCATCTTTTCTTCAGTGTTTAATCTGCCGTTAATCCCATCCAGTGTTTTCTTCATCTCAGACATTGTAGTTTTTAATCTCTAGAAGTCCGTTTCGGATCTTTCTTAGATCTTCCAGGTCTCTGCTTGTCTTGTGGAACATACCAAATACAGCGATAAATAACTTTTTTGAGTCCTTGTCTGCTAATTCTAGCATCTGTATGATTATTTTCTACTTCTAAAGTGAGGCCTCTCCTAGTCCTCTACCCAAGACCGTGAATTGTGAGTATTTTCGGTCTGGCTGGTAAGGACAGGCACTATTCCAAGCCTTTCATCTTTTTGGAGGGCTCTTTGTCTGGTAGTTTCTTCACTCATGTGCATTGATCATCACTGGATACTCAAGAGGGACCTCTGCAGATCTCTTTGACTCCTGTTAAATAATATATATTTTTACATTCTCTCTCTTCACATATATGTATCTTTCTATTTAAAGTGCATTTATTGTACACAGCAGGTAGTTGGATCTTAATTTTTTTTGAATCCACTCCGACAAGCTCTACCTTTTAATTGGAGTGTTTAGATAATTAACATATAATGTAATCGTTGATAAAATTTGGTTTAGGTCTCTAATCTCACTGAGGGTTTTTTTCCCCTCACCTGTTCTTCCCTTTTGCCTCTTCTTACTACTCTCTCTCTGCAGCTCATTCCTCTTTGCTACTCTTTACGGTGAATTCTAATGGCCCTCGCACTCTCAGCTCAGGGAGTATACTGGGTCCTGCCTGGTGTCCAGCTCCCTGTGCTGTGGCCTGGAAACTCTTTCAGGCCATGAGCTGTTTTCAGGCAAGAGGACTGTCCATCTAGGCCAGAGGCAGAAGTCTGCAACTCTTAATTATATTTCCTGTCCCTGGTTCTTTTCTCACAGTGCCTTCTATTTATCCAGAGGAATTCCAGCACCAGCGATGGTATGCAAACCTTTAGTGGCACACGTTGACTCAGATACAGCCCAGATTCCTTGGCCATGCTTTCCAGGTCTTCCATAAACCATTCTGTTCTTTCTCCTCTCATTCCCTTCATTACCTTCATTTCCATTCCTACAGATTTGTTAACTGGAATTTCTGTACTTCCATCTCTTTTTGTTGACAGCTTCTCTTTGTTCAGGTTCTCCATTTCCTGCACATTTTTAACACATTTGCAAGTTGTAAATTATCTTCTTTCTGCAAACTCCTGTAAAGATTTATGTGCACCTCTTTGATTC
The DNA here is from genome assembly GCF_000001405.40 of Homo sapiens. NCBI lineage: Eukaryota > Metazoa > Chordata > Mammalia > Primates > Hominidae > Homo > Homo sapiens. The sequence goes on from NC_000010.11 coordinate 11,190,105, forward strand.
AAGCCTTCACTTTCTACCTTGTGTTAACTTATTTATGCACATGTCTTATCTCCTCCAACCACTTATAAATCCCTTGAGGACAGGATTCACGTCTCATTTACATGCTCTTAGAAATTTACAGTGCGTACACAGTAGGCAATCCATACATGCCCATTCAGTACACATTTACTGGCAGTCTTGGGAATGAACATCAAATTAGGTATTGATGAAATTTTGGCCCGATGATAAAGAATATCTTAGGCTAAAAGTAATGGGAAAATTAAATTGTTTGCAGGATGTTTCAGCACTACTCCCTACTTAGCTAGATTTATCTCCTCTTTCTTCTCTGTGTGTCAGTTTGCAAACAAGAACTGCCCTTTTCTCTTTGAAAAAAAATGAACACTAAAGGCAGAGATTTTCATTTGGCTGTCTTTGTATTCCCACAACCAAGCATGGTACGTGGTTCAAGAAATGGCTGTTTAATCACAGCAGTAACTCCCAGTAGGAAAGATTCTCAAAGGAATTGTTCTTTTAAAAAAAAAAAAATTCACAAAGTAGGCTGTACCCTCAAAGTGCTAAGGAGAGCTTCTGTCCTCGAAAATCTCCCTGAAATACTGAAAGCATACAAAAAAGGAGAAAGCTCAAAACTAAATTTTGACTCTCAGTGGCTGGGTTTTGTATCTCTTTTCTTTAAAAAAAAAAAAAAAAAAAAAAAAAAAAGCCATTGAAATGATTCCACTTCTGAGTTACCTGGAGCAGTCAAATTCAGAAAGACAGAAAATAGGTTGGTGGTTGGCCAGGGGCTGGAGCAGGAGGGAACAGGGAGTAAGAGTGTAAGGGGGATGGAGGTTTAGTGTGGGGAGATGTGAGAGTTCTGGAGATGGACAGTGGTTACAGTTGCACAGCAGCATCAATGTATTTAATGCTGCTGACCTTCATGGACATCCTGGTCATGTGTACAGAAAACTTAGAAGTAAATTAGGGTTTAAATCCAGTTCCCTGAGGTTGGGCAAGCTGCTGGTCCTCTCTGAATCTGTTTTCTTGTCTGTAAATGGGGCCTGATGTATTGAAAGGCACCTGGCTCAGTGCCTGTAACAATGGACACTCATGTTCATCTAGTTCTGTCCCTTTTCAGCTTTACAGAGAGGCTTCCTACTTAGATGGTTCTCTCTAGCTATGGGGCTTGGAGAGTAAATGGGCAGGAGTGGGAGTGTGGGAAGGGGCCATGCTCTGTTGATCTCAGCCAGTTGAAGCTGATGCCTCTGTCCTGGTGTTTATAAGGGGCTCCATCACACATGTACCCGTCCTCTATTGTGTGGGAGGTACCCCAGGCAATGAAACGGAGAGGTGTCTCCTGGTGTTGCAGTGGGGAGGAGACCTCTGGACCAGGACGTGCTGTGGGGCGTCAGCTACCAACCTTGTGGTCTCGGGAAAGTGACCTATCAAGGGGGCATACAACAGGGACACCACCTTGAAATCTGAAGTCACTGAGTAGCAGGGGAGGTTGGAGCCTGGGGCACCCCATGGCCTGCCCTTGGGTTTCATTTAACTGTGGCCTCCCCAGGATGTTACACGTCCTGGCCTCCTCCCTGCAGAAGATGAGGCTTATTCCCAGTCGGCAGACTGGACTTCTTCATAAGTGAAAAATAGTTACATAATGGTTATCTCATTGGTGTTTAGATTTCTGAACAAAACGATGATCCAAAATCTGAGTGTGGAGAAACGGATCCCCAGTGAAGGAGGAGGGAGGGGCCGTGTGCATGCTCATGCTGTTTATCCCAAGCCTGTTTTCCACCCTCCCTGCCCTCCCATGCAGAGGCCCCGCCCTGTGTCCACTCTACTTCTTAGGAACCTGGCAACCCCAGGGAATTTTCCTGACAAGTCAGTGTCATTTTATGGGTTATTGCTGTTTTCCCAGAATAGCCAATTAGTATTGAGGAAGTGTCACCTGCTCTTCTCCATGTTCAGCCCCTTCCTGAGCACACTCATCAGGTTTAAGGAGCCAGCTGTCCCACCTGCTCAGCTGTGCACCCCTACAGGCTGGGATCTTGTGAGATTCATACCTACTGAGGAGGGTGCTTGCGTTCAGTCATGGTTGAGATGGGGCTCTTCCAGCACAGCCCCAAAATACTTCAAGAGGCGCAGAGGAAACTCGGCCTCCCGAGTGAGCATCCCCTTGATCCCAGCAAGGCTGGAGGGAGGCAGTGCTGTGGGTAGTTAGTTGGAGGAACCAAGGGCATGGCCTCTTTTATTCTAGTGACATTCAAGGGCACCAGCTGTTTTGACTCCCAGGAAGCTGTTTTTCCCATGCTGAGTAGTCTCATGGCACTGTGTGCCACCACAGTGCTGCCCAGCCCTGCCACCCTGGACTGACCGATAGAGGGGAGACCACAGCGTCAGCTGCTAACATGGAAGGACTTGATTGTGCAAGAGCTGGGTTTCCTGGGAAGTCAGGCACCCTGCTCCTTCACCTCCCCATAACAGCTGTCCCCATGGCAGTCTCATGACAATAACAAGCCAGCCTTGCTATTTTGGAAAGCAGTGAGGGACGTGGAGATCCGATCTGGACAGTATTCATCTCCTGTGTGACCTGGGTGAGTTGCCCACCCTCACAGAGTTCTTTTCACCGAGTTCACATGGGACTCAAATGGGATGCCATGGTTTTAACCCCTGGCGTGCGTTAGAATCACCTAGAGGAATTGAAACAGAGAAATACCAGTGTCCCAACCCCACCCTCAGGAATTTGGATTTAATTCCCCTGCTGGGTCCCAGGTGGCACCTGAAGGTATTGAGGTGATTCTAACGTGCAGCCAAGGTTGAGAAGGACCAAGCTGGACGTTGCGAGAGTGCTCTGGTAAATTTCGTTTGGTGTTACTCTCATTACATTCTCCACTGACTTTGGCAGTGTCTGTGAATTTTCACATTTTTCATGTAAAGATCTTCATGACTTTTTTTCTTAACATTGTTTCCAACAACTACTGCAGGTCATTTAGCAAGAATTAGTCATGGTAGTTCACAGCCCTGAACCCAAACACCCCCAGATCTTCAGCCTCGCGTGGGGCTTCCAGTGACTTCGTGGAATGTCATCATAGTCCTTCCTTTGGAGAGCTGGATTTTCTCAGGCACCATGAGGATCTGGGCCAAGCTTCTCCAGGGCTGTCATTGCTTCCTGGTTGGAAAACCCCTAGGTGCCAAATGCAAGAGGAGAAAGAGTGAAATTAACCAGCTCACCCATCAATAGCAGTCTCAAAATCATAGAACTGGGAGCCTGTAAGAAATCACACATTTCTGTGAATGTGTAGAGAATAACTCCAAAGTTTCACCGTGACAAGTGCAGAAATTACATTTAAATGAGTACAGAAGAAAATTTCGCCACAAACTGTGTTAGCCAAAGAAGGTTCTGTACAATGAGACGTAACTGAATTATGGGTAAGTTCTGTGTTCCTGCTGATGCCCTCCCCACTCCGTCTGGGGCTGGGGCTGTCTTGAGCCAGCATTCCTGTTCATTCCACCTGAGGACTCCAGTGTGTGGGAAGGAGGAAGAGACTTAAACCCACCTAGGGGCCGGGTGTACAGCAGAAGGATAGTACCCATTGAGGGGCCAATATAGGTTTCGTAGTGAGAACATAATAATGCAGGTTTAACCAAAAGAATGTGATCTTTGAAGACTGTTTGATCTTATGCATGGTTTATGGTATTTTGTAAATGGAATAGCTTTTCCAAGAAATTCAAAAAAGTGCCCATATGACGCTTCATGTTTATAGATTTATGAAGTATTGGTTCTCAGTATAACCTGGGAAAGAGGCTGGGGAGGTCCGGTCATCTTCATTTTCTGATGAGACAACTGAGATTTAGTTTAAATAGTGGTCACATTGCTAGGAATTTGGTAGTTCAAGGACAAGACTTACAGTGTTGAAACTCTCATTTTGGTGCGTTTCATGTTTTAGAATTTTTCACAGTATTTTTACTTTTTAAAAATTTTTTATTTTATATATATTTTTGTGACAGAGTCTCACTCTGTCGCCAGGCTGGAGTGTAGTGGCATGATCTCAGCTCACTGCAACCTCCACCTCCCAGGTTCAAGCGATTCTCCTGCCTCAGCCTCCTGAGTAGCTGGGACTACAGGCACACGCCACCACACCCAGCTAATTTTTGTATTTTTAGTAGAGACGGGGTTTCACCATCTTGGCCAGGATGATCTCGATCTCTTGACCTCGTGATCCACCTGCCTCGGCTTCCCAAAGTGCTGGGATTACAGGTGTGAGCCACCACACCCAGCCTATTTTTACTTTTTAAATTGAGTTTTCATTTTGAAATGAAAAATGAGAAAATTCAAAATTTTTAAATGAAAACATTGGTCTTTGCCCAGTAACGAACATGTGTACACCTTTGCATTCATACAGTCCCCTAGAACCAGTAAGTCCTTTCCCTGCAAAGCTGTCCTGAACATTCAGGGTCCACACATTGACCACTGAAGGGTAGGAGGAAAGGCAAAGCGAGCTGCACAAAGGGAAGATGGCCCGTAGCCTTGAAATGCACTCTTGCTAGCCCTCCCCATTTTGGTTATTATCAGCAAAGATCAGTGACATGTTAATATATTCGGCTATTTTACTGTGAATATAATGGTAAATTTTAATAGAAATTGAGTTAGATAGCAGTTTCTGAATCTGAAAGAAAGTGACATTGCTTGCGAATGCTCACAGTAGCACTTAACATTGTGAAGTTCAACTCAATTTTTATTTGCTGTTTCACAGAAAGCAATAATCCCTCATATTTTATAGTACCATCTGGGTTACAAAAATCCCGATGCGTCTTTGTTGGACAAGCCAGGATCTCAGGAAGGAGTGGAGGGGAGCTTCATCTCAGTGGCTTCTGCCCTGAATTTGAATTTTTAACAGGCAGCTTTTAAGCATCCTGTGGCACTCATCCCATCTCAGTGTAGCAGAGACAGTAATGTCTTTCCCTCTATGGTTGAGAAGGAGCTTCTGAATGCCCTTTTGGAAGCTGTAGAAATCTATGATACTCATCGTCAGCATTCGACCATGAACTTAAACTCCTATCACACCTCTAGGTGTGATAATATTTCTCCTTCTGTTACAACAGAGTAATGTCACACTTGGCACTTTTACTGTCCTCTTGCGAGACTATCCTCCAAGTGCTGTCTGAGAGTGTTAACTGCTATTTGGCTCATTTTTCTGCACCAAGGAGAACAGAAACACAGCAGGCACCAAGAGGAGGTTTAGTGTGCAGTGGGTTGTTCTGAAAGGCAGTGAGTAAAATGAGGTATTCCCTGACTTCTGCTTTTGCTACATGAAGTCATGAGGTCCTTGAAGCCAGACTTAGGTACCGTTTCTTTCATCCCTTGCTAGTTCCTAATCGTAGACACAAACCTTCCACATCCATCCAGGCGGATGGCAGTGCTTCTTGTAGAAAGCAATGTCACTAAGGCAGTGTCACTAAGGGAAACAGGACAAGGCAACAGTTGTGTTCAGAGTTTTGACTGGCGTCTGATTGGAATTAGAAGGAAGATTATTTTGCCATAACCTAGGTACCGTGACCCAAGCTCTTTTGGCAGACCTTGACGTCACAAACCGTACGCTTGCTGGAGAAGGGAAAAGGAGAGTTGCAGCCACTAAGAGAGTCAAGGCTGTGGCCTGCCTGGTGGTGTTTTATAGGAACTGGCTCAGGGAGGCTGCATGTCCTTTGTTTTCTGAGGCCTTGTTCCACGTGGCCTCCCACTTGAGGCCAGGAATATTGCAGCAATGCCGAAGAGTGGGTGGACAAATAGCCTTATTATTAACCTAAGTTGGAAACATGGCTTTTTGAGTGTCTTCATTCACAGATGCAGTCACAAAATATTAATACTCTTTTTTTGAACATGGCAAAACAAAGTATTCATTTAAACCTCCTTTGTCCACGTCCATGGTAAAAGAGCACCTCAGGCAGGGGAGAAAAAAAAAAAAACTGGTCCCTTGAGAATTACTTTATCCTTTGCATTTGCATATAGTTTGAATTCATAATTAGGCTATTTTTATTGGCTAGCAGCTGTATTATCATATAAATCCCTGAATATGTAATTTGGAGTCATTTAGACCAGTCGTCCCACAGTAACCCTGGGAAGCACGTGAGCAGCGTCAGCGTCTTTCTCGAGGAAGAAAATGAAGATGGGGAGTAACTTGCTGCAGGCAGCTTAGCTCCTGCTGTGGTGGATTGGGTTTTTACGCTAAAGAACATAGATACCTGTTCAGTAATAACTTACATTGGCATAGAATTCATCTATTAACAGGATGTTTTGAGGCCAGACGTGGTGACTCACACCTGTAATCCCAGCACTTTGGGAGACCAAGGCTGGAGGATCACTTAAGCCCAGGAGTTGGCAAGACCAGCCTGGGCAATACAGCGAGACCCCCAGCTCTGCAAAAAAAATAACAAAATTAGCCAGGCATGATTGTTCATGCCGGTGGTCCCAGCTACTCAGGAGGCTGAGGAGGGAGGACAGCATGGGCCCAGGAGTTTGTGGTTATACTGCACTCCAGCCTGGCAACAGAGCAAGACCCTCTCTCTTTAAAAAAAACAAAACAAAACAAAACAGAACCGGGCGCAGTGGCTCACACCTGTAATCCCAGCACTTTGGGAGGCCAAGGCAGGCAGATCACGAGGTCAGGAGTTCAAGACCAGCCAGACCAACATGGTGAAACCCCGTCTCTACAAAAAAATACAAAAATTAGCCAGGCGTGGTGGCGCATGCGCTTGTAATCCCAGCCGCTCATGGGGCTGAGGCAGGAGAATGACTTGAACCTGGGAGGCGGAGGTTGCAGTGAGCCGAGATCGCACCACTGCACTCCAGCCTGGGCGACAGAGCGAGACTCTGTCTCAAAAGAAAAAGAAAGAAAGAGAGAAAGAAAGAAAGGAAGGAAGGAGAAAGAAAGAAAGAAAGAAAGAAAAGAAAGAAAGAAAGAAAGAAAGAAAGAAAGAAAAGAAAGAAAGGAAAGAAAGAAAGAAGAAAGAAAGAAGGGTTCCCATTGTTCTCGCATTCATTGTCTGCGTTGGTTGAGTCTGTAGGCAGGGTAGGGATGAGCATCTTCATTTTCTTCATTTTACACGGAAAAGAAATCTCTGGTTGAACGTGGTCAGTGACTTGCTTCAGCTGGGAGACTTGGGACTGAAGCTGCCCTCTGTGACTCTGCACTCTGTCCGTGATACCAGGGAACTGGTGAATCCAGGAGCCTCCCATTGTGATGCTCACTCCTTCTCCTGTCCATTCATATGGGTAAAAAAGGTTTTGTGGCTTAAGTAGCATCCAGTTTCATCTCAAGTTTCAGTTCCCATAAAATAAACAGATACTAGGGTAGCAAATGGTCCCTTATTAAATGTCACAGGGGAAAAAGAGAACAAAAATCATTTTCTGTACTCTCCAGAATACAGTTGAGTGTCCCGATTGCCTCATACCTCCAGTGAGAACAGCAGCAGCATTTATGGGCTATCTCAGTGAGCCACTTTTCTGTTAAACAATCCAACACGGAAGTAACACAGGCTGTCCTTTGGGCTCCCCCGCCTGATCCGCTGAACAGAATCTCAGTTCTGTTTGACTTACACGGTCGGTGGCAGAGGGAGGAGGGAGAAACTCTTCCATCTTTATTCCCAAATGGGGATCTCATTTTGGGTGCATGTATGCAAAATCTGTTCTGTCTCCTCATGCTTAGTGTGCTAGTATATATTTACTGCTGACTGCATTTCTTTATGAGGACTCTTCTGTAGCGTTTTGATACTGACAATTTTATGAAGGCTATTTCTTGATATTTGTTTATTACTCCTTTAAAAATGTATTTTTGTGGCAGCTTCAAGGCAGTTGCAAGATAGTGTATTTTTCAATAGAGAAGTTGGATTAAAACTTACAGCAACTGTCACCTGGTAACCAGACCCCATATAACTGTGTCAACATTAACCAGTGATTTATTGCTTTAAATTGGAATCAGCTGATTTGTGGTTCCACGGCTTTTAACGCTGCAGGATTAATCTGGAACCCACTGGTACACATGAAATAGTTGTATTATCTGCTGTTCTAAGACTGATGAAATGTTTAAAAGGATAGCTGTGTAATCAGTCCATTATCTCCTGGTGTTCCAGCTTATTCTGTTCCGTGTGGCAGTGTACAATTTCAAAAATAATTATTCTGCTGTCCTTAATATGGGAGCCGAATGCAGTGACTGATAAAAACTGCATTCAGCAAGCCCTTTCCCAAATTGGGTAGTTCTATTTTGTTATCTTCTGAAGGGAAAACATGGGTTGTGATGGTCAGACCTCCTAGGAGTCTGGAAGCTTTAGAGCAAGCCCTGGGAGGCAGAACACTTAATCTGTTGCCAACATCTTTTTCTGTTTAATATTTTGAATTTTTTGTTTGTAGGTAAACTTGTTTAGACTACACTTTCATGTACTCATCTGAACATAGGTAGACCTCTTGAAAATAAGGATATTGATGCTTACAGTTTTCTTTTGTTCTGAAAGCAGTCAGAACATAGCCATAGTTACAGAATGTGGGTTTTAAAAAGCAATCTAGACCAGTGTCCCTTTCTTAGCATCCTACTTTGACAGCCAGCTATTGAAGGAGACCCAGAAGGGCATGGTCAAGTGGTTTGCTTCAGACTTGCATTCTGTACAAAGCTCATCCAAAGGAAAAGCGTTGTAGATTTTTTTGCATAGACTAGGTAGTCTCTAGGGATAATTATTCTTGTTTACAAAGATGTTCGTGGCAATCTATAGACTGTTAGTGATGTTTTGAGGAAAACCCAAGACTCAACATCTTGTATATAAAGGATTGCCCATGAAATCACAGTCTGTCTTCAAACTGTAAGTAGAACATGAGCTTTCCAGTTAATAGGGAAAACATAAAACAATGGATTTTATTGCAGGGCAGTCCTGGCCTTGTATAGACCAAGAGTAGTTGACTTTCCAGGTAACCATGGATACCTTAGGAGGAGGGGTTGGTAGGACCTGAGAGGAGGATGGCATACAATTGTATGACTGTTCTCTAGTGGCGAGAGATTGTCAAGGAAGAAATGAACAGTTTTATTAGAACCCAAGACCATGATCTCTGGGACCAACATCTTTAATTGGAGACTTGTTAGAAGCCATTCAGTTAAGAAGACAGTATGAGATGCATCACCTTGTTTCTGCGATGTTATCTTCTACTCCCCGATTCGGTTGCTGGTTATCTCTTAGGCCTGCTTTTCCCCCCTCTTGAACATGGAGCTAATAACTTTCAAACAAATCTTGAGCCCTCTAGGCAGACACTCTGTTGTTCCTTGAGCCCGGGCCATCCTTGCTATTGCTACCTGACCACAAGTGCTGGAAGTAGATGTCACACCTGCGAGCAGAGAAGGCCCGCAGGTTGGGTATGGTCTGTGTAGAGCCTGAATCAGAAGGGTCTGGGCTGGAAAGGAAGATGGTCAGATGTTGCCCTCTGCCACCACCCCTTCCCCCAAGTGTGCCTTCTCTTGAAAAATGTGGTAAATTCCATGAAATTCATTTCTAGTCACAGTTAAGAGCAGGCCCTCCAGACTCCACTCAGCTTGTCTGTTATGAGGAAAAAGCCATCAATATTTTAAAAGCTGCTGAGAGGCAAGAAGTTAGCCTCGATGGCTGGAAATTAAGAATTTTTTTTATTCTATGCAAAATCTGTCCATTGCTTCTCTAAAGCAGCAGCAGGGCTGAGGGAAAGCTTAGCCTAGAACAGGGATGTGATGAAGACTAATAAGATAAAACCAGTCAGAGTGTTTAAGCTAGAGGTAACCTGGAAGTGTCCTAATTGGATGGCCTGAATTTCTCACCCGGGAGTTTTCCAGAGCAGTTAACACCCAGATATGCCCCGGCATTGATGTCACAAAACTGGGTCGTGGCAGGGTGCTCCAGAGAGTAGATTTCAGGGCAGATCTTCCAGGGACAGATTTTGTTGACACGCCTTCTGGATTTCTAGTTGTGGTTGAGAATGTATGATGTGAAAATTCACCCAAACTTTCCAGAGTTCAACTTAATGAGAAGAGAAGAGGTTTAGGGGAGTGTATTAACTCTTTGGGCCCACTAGAGGAGTTTTACAAATAGTTTTCAAGAACCAGTTCGCCCACATGATTTTCAGTCTGCCTACGAATTTGTTAGGGGTTGCATTCATATTTATAGGTAGGTATCTCACATTCAGCCTCACCTTTGCCTCCATTCTGTCTATTAATTTTTCTTTGTTCCCGTACCAAAATGCTAAAAGCCTAAGAGCATGTTCCTACAGCAAAGATATGAATTCCCAACCAAGGGAGATGAAGAAGTGAATTGGTTAAATGTACTGAATACCAGTTCTCTGTCTTTTCATAGCACATCCCTTTGATATTTCTTATACTCTGCAGAATGTGGGCATGTGCTTATTTTCATGAATACCTGGAAAGCATTTTAAATGATGGCAGTGCTACCTGGGTACCAAGAGGACTTAAATGCCACTTGCTGGCTCATGACTTACCCAGGAACATGGTGCAGGGTCTCCCTCTTTTCCTTGCCCAGTGGGCACAGATCTCTGCAAGACATTTCCAGGTCAGACTTCTGTGCCCCTCTGCATAGGCCTGCCTGTCATTTGATGCTGCTGGTAGGTTGGAGAAGCAGTCCAAGGGGATGGAGATAAGCCTCAGCTACTGGGTCAGCGTTTTGAAACCTGCTAGCAAAAGGAAGGGAGAAAAGATTGAGAAAAAGAAGACGGAAATTAACTTCTGTGTCATTGTGGGCTGAGTCGCACCGTACAAGTTGTTTTCCCTCTGAGCAAATGAAATTTGAGAATTGTTCATCAGTGAGGATGAAATGTCAGATATTCTTGTCGGGAAGTATATTCCTCTCTCAAACGGGTCAGTTTTACCAAGTGGTTTGCTCAAAAAGGTGTTCTCATCAAGAAAGTGTAAATGTGGGTTTCAGTGCTTCAATGGCTTTGTCTACCTGACTTCTCTACAGCAGTTCACCAACTTCTAATTTTCTGAAACGAAATTCTAAAACATACTCACTTTGATCCTGCTAGTACATTTTTCTTGTAGCTGTGTTGGGTAGTCCCCTGAAGTGTGAGGCAGAGATAGCACTGACATGGGCAGAATTGTTACTGTTTCACCTGTATTTTCCTTGTGTGTGTTTTTTAATCTGTAGGTATTAGGATAGGTTTAACTGTCAGTATTTTCGCAGACCCAAAAATATATTAGGACTTTTAAACACAGAACCCTTATGGATATTGGTGGGTGGCTTTCCTCCATGTGGTGATGCAGGGATCCAGGCTTCTCCATCTTGTCACTCTACCATCTCTTTGGTTTTTGTGTGTGTGTGTGTTTTGTTACTTTTTTTGTCACCTGTGTCCATTCAAAAGGAGAGGAAAGAAAGTATGGAGGACTCATATCTGCTCTGTTAAAAGCTCTGGCTCTTAAGCAGCACAGGTCACTTCCACTTGTATTTCTTTAGGAAGCCTTTAGTCACGTGGCAAGGGGCAAATGTGGTTTCACCATGAGCTCTGTTCCAGTGTTGGCCCTGAGGAAGGAGAGGATGGACTTCAGCAGACACTGGTAGTCCCTGCAACAGCTGTCCTTTGCTGTGTTGTTTCCCAGGCTTCCTGGAGGATAAGAATCCCAGGGAACACTGCCCTATAGATGACCAGGCCTTTCGCCTGGAAAGCCTGAGCTGAGGGGCATGGCTTGGCTCCAAGAATCCATGTTTTTGCCAATGTTCCAGGCAATTATCATCTTCAGGAACATTTGGGAAATGCTATTGTAAGAGGTGATTAGATTGTAGAAAGGTATTTGGTACCTTCGTTGCAGTTTTCTGCTGAGAATCCTGTGTTGTAAGGAATGGTGGTGGACTCGGTGGTGAAACGTAACTCCTGGCACCCATGCTTAACTCTCTTCAGTCTTAAAATTTGGCCTCACTGCATAGACAAGATCATGACTGTACCATGTAACACTAAGACATCTGTTCCTACCTGAATTTTTCTTGGAGTAGCAGATTGTTTCATTGAGTTGACCAAGTTTACGACTCATTTTGACAGATGGTGATTCTATGGTTTATATCAACTACTTGGAATTTATCATCTAATGACAGCTGTTTAACACATAGGTCAGCGTATAAGATTGACTAGTAATGAAATCTTCGGGGCATTTTTTTCACCTCCTGTCATAATGTTGAATCTTTGGGAAACCTACCACCTTGGAAATGAAAAGCTTATAAATATATTGGGTGAACAGCAGTTGAATTATTTATGTGACAAAAAATTCTTTGTCATCCCAAAAAGAAAGGATGGAAAAGTTGTCCCCGATGGTTTCGGAAGCTGCAGTGAGATGGACACAGTATGTGGAGTATCTGTGGGGTGAGCTTTTCGTAGCAAATTTGGATCCTAGACTGCCCTCTCTGAGCTACCCAGTAGTCAGTCAAATGGGTCAAGTCCTTTTCCACAGTTTGGAATGTGCTCAGGGAATCAAACCGACTTTAATATTAGCCTGTGACAGTTATATTCAGGGAGCTAAGACTTGCTCTCACTAACATCGAAAGCGTTCCAGCACATGTTGGAAAGGTGTTTGGGGTAGCCACTGTTTAGACTTGCCTTAGCTATTGATCTTCTTGTTATCGAATATAATTTAGAACTAACAGTGAGACCCTTAGTGGTGGGAGAATATTATTATCATTTGTTATCTGCACAATTAGGAAGCAGGAGAGTACAGCAGAGGCTTTATCCTATAAACCATCTCGTTGCCTAGAGCATTTTAGCTCCTTGCAGAGTGGTCTACCACATGCCTGCCTTCCCACCCCCATCCTCATCTCTCTCTCTCTCTCTCTCTCTCTCTCTCTCTCTCTCTCTCTCTCTCTCTGTGTGTGTGTGTGTGTGTGTAATCCAAACAGGCATTGGCCCTACAGTCCAAAGGGCTAAAAAGACTCAGAAATCCATCCTCATCCAGTCATCCAGGGAAGAAATAGGAGCCTGCAGGGTGTTTCTTTTCTTTTTTCTGAAGGTTTAATAGAATCAGTGTCATTGGCAATGATTGAGAAAAATGAAAGTTTTTAGATCAAATACTACTCTAGCGTGCATGCAGCATGGGAACAATTGATGGGCGGCGTGCTCTTCCTCAGACAAAACCCAGTGGCTGCTAATCAGTGTGTGGTGTGGAGAGTTTTTTGTTATCCTGAAATCAAGGAAATATTTTACTTTTCCCTCTGAGGTGTTCCAGAGAAAGATTCTTGATCAAAGAAGATAAATCCTCTTCCTACCTGCTAATGAGTGAGCAGCTGGATTTCAAGCACATCACGTACAAGGACCATGTGTTACATTTTTTTAGTATCCATAATCAGGTACACTTATTTAATTTTCTAAAAATGGAAAGCCAAGCATTCTCTTTGGTTAGAGACATGGAGCGGTGAAGAAGTAAGGCAGTGTTTGGCAAGATGAGTCCACCTAACTGGAATCAGGCCAGGCTTTATCGGGAACCAGAGGGGCGACTCTGTCAAGACACCCCCTCTCCATGCCTCCACTTCTTTAACTGGAAGCAAGAACTTAAACCAGATGGTTAAGATCTTTTTTCTGTCTTCCGTCTGGCATTTAAAGTTGATCGCTGTCAAATCTAGAATGGACCCTTTTCAGAATTACAATGTGACTGAAGTTTGTCACTTTCTTCCCAGCCATCCCCATTTTGGGGGTCATCCTTCTTCTTTTAGGACATCCCCTCTTGCCCCATGACCCGCGTTCTCACCATGGAAACTCTTATCAAACCTAGTGGCCATAAGATTCATTGATACTACAGCGTAAATGGTTGGGAAACAGATTGCGGTGTTGTGTCTTCTGAGGCATTTTTATTTTAATATGAATCTGAGCCTCCAACTGAAAGGATGAAGCTCAGAGGCTGAGTGGAGAGACTGGGGGAGAGGACAGAAGAGGAGGGGCGCAGAGGGTTTGCCCACATCAGCCCCGTTTTCTTCTTTTGTCCCAGAATCATCGTTAACATTATCCCCTCCGCTTTCAAAAGGGTCCTCACTTGGAGAATGAATTATTTGATCACCCTGGATATCAAGAAACCCTTCATACTGCCCCTAAAATTGTACAGTGGAAGGAAGAAAAGAAGCTAACCTCTTTTCGGTATTTTCTTTGTGCCAGATTCTGGGCTTGGCACTGTGTATACATTATTTTACTAAATGGATCAAACAGAATCTATTTCACCTAGCCATTAAACCGCATCTCTCTTAGGCTAGAAGTAACTATACCAGAGTCATTTCACAGGAAATGGGTTGAGAGTGTTGCATGGACCATTTTTACCCCTAGGAACCTGAATCAGAAAGGCTCATGGAACTCCAAGTTGAAAAGAAAACCATATTGCTATAGGGGAAGGGGGTGTGAAAATGCTCCGGTGAGAGTCAACCCCCTGAGTATACAGTAGGAACCTCCGGTGCCTGGCACCACGCCATGCCTTGTCGGGGGCCGGTGGGGGGACCCAGGAAGCGTAAGAGGTAGCAGCCACCCGCAGAGAGCTGCATTCCTTAGGAGAACAGGAGCACGGCAGCGGAACCACAGTCAGACGGCAGTGATCTCCTGCGCTTGATCCCCGTGTGACAGGAACTCTCAAAATGAAATCCAGCTGCTGGAAACCCCTTGGCCAAGAGGTGCCTGACACACATGGTGGTCTGTGCCCCAGGCTTCCGCCGGACATCTCCTCCTCCCCGTCCTCATCGCAGCGTTTAGGACATCACGTCTTCTTGTGAAGCCCAGTGTTAACTGCTTTTGTTTTTTCTTCCTCTATTGTTGCTGAGATAAAGGAAAGTGACCAATCTGGTTAAACTCGTATAGTAGTGAAACCTGGGTGTGCTCCTTAGCCGTAGGTTTTATTTCAAATAACAAACTGTTTTAGGGATTTTTTGCCTCTTGGGGGCATATCATAGAGCATACAGTTGGGGAAAATTTTGTTGTACCCTGAATAAGAAAGTCATGAAAATGATTACATTAAAATTGATTGACTATTTAGAGGTCACGTAAATGGATGTTCAGAGTATTCAAAGGCCATGCGAATGGGTGAACTCTGCTAGTTCCAAGTAATTACTTCAGAAAGCAAGACAACACAATCAATTCTAAGCCCTATTAAAGGGCTCGTGGTCATCACTTAGAAAAGCGGCTTCCCTACCAGGGAAGCACAGCGGCAGCGCAGCCTGCGGCAGGCCTGTCGCGGCTGCATTTCCGTATTGCATTTGTTATAAAAGTGGAGTAAAGCTACCTATCCCTTACCTGCCTCAAAGGGAGCCTGCATAGTGTCTGTTAGGGCTCAGCGCTCTATGGAGAAACATGTTAAATTTAAAGTGGACAATAGCTGCTAACATTTACTAAGCACTCTTATTTACATGCCAGGAACTGTGTTAAACATTTTCATACGTTGTTTGGCTTAATGTGATACATCTATAATATAGCTGTCACTAACCCCATGTTATTAAGAACCAGAGGCTTAGGGAGGTGAGGTCATCAGCTTGTGATGCTAATCAGGAATGACTGTACCAGCCTCACTGCAAGGATTATGAATGGGCATGAGAAGACTATCCAGCATCACTTTGAAAACTGTCATGGTATCTGCCATGAGAACTCAGGGACCACCTTGGCCCCAAAAGTGAATTTCTTAAATGATTTCCGCTGTTCCAGGCAGTATGGAGAAATATCTCTGTCTCTGATCTCCGTACACATGAAATGCGACTCAGCTATTGCCGGAGTGGGGTGAAGACAGTTATAACGGCCATAAATATTAGTTCTCCAGCATCATATCCAACAAGAAAAAACAATCTACAATAAGTACAAATGTTTACTTCAGCCTAGCCTTGGATTTCTATAGCCAAAGGGTTTGCCTCTCCATTTCACTTTGACTGTAAAGACCAGAGTGAGGAAGTAGATTATGACGTCCTTATTCCATTTCCAGAAAAAATAACCTTTGTTCTGCTTTGGATTGCAAATAACCCTTTTGAGAGTTCAGAGGCACCTAGAACCCTTGAGTAATAAGTTAGAATACCACTGATAGGTGCTCAGGAACAGAGCTGAGCTGTGTTTTATTCAGGCTAACAATAAGGGGCCTGCATTCTTAGTCCAGGGAATTCAAGCTGATGCATCGTCAAAGCAAGGCAGTGAAGTGGAGACTTGAGAGATCGGCCTGGCCTGGAAGCATCTAATAGCCCAGCTTGCTGTGAATTGAGAATCGTAGGAAAATAGATGTGATTCTAACCTACCTCTCATTGCCACTAGCCTCCTAATTATAATGCTATCCTATCCTCTACAGAATCTATACTATGAAATAACCTTATATTAGAAACTTTCTTCTAATGAGGTCCCTCAGTACTTTAGAAACTAAATCCTTCTTAATTGGATTCAAGACAGAACTACCTTACACCTACCGCGTTTAACCCCGTGATGCCTCCTTGGTGTATGGGAAGTGATCTTGGTTTGGTTAGCCTGAAGGCCTGCCTGCTGCTGAGCCACTGGTCTCCACCTCACCATGAGACCCCAGGGAGACCAGCTGGCCAGGGAGTTGAGCCAATTAACGTCCACTTTAGGGAAGCCAGACCCTCTAGTTGGCTTGTTACATTCAACCTGAAGTTTTTCATTCTTCCTTACCTTCAGAGAAAAATATGGTTCTGCTCACTACTTTGGAATTAGGTTTTGAAAAATACAAAGCGTGATAAATTCTATGGCTAGCTTATTATCTTTCATTCCTATAGTCAAGTGACGTTTTCTCTAACAAAGAAGACTCCTTGCTTTCTTCACGTCACCCCCTGGGGGCCTGGACAAATGCACACGTCACCCTACCTTTCTGATGCTCAGAGCAGGGTGGGAGAGTTCGTGAAACAGCTGAACACGATGATTGTCCCATCGGGGGAAAAAAGGATGATGCTGAAATTCTTCCAATGCTTTCATAGCTATTAGACAATTGAAATGGTTTAACATAAGTGTCTTATTTCAAAGAACCAGAGAAGGGGAAAAGCACATTCCAGCAATTTTGCCCTTGTTACCTTTTCTATCTGTGTCGTGCTTTGGTGGAATTTACATAATCATGGGTGAGGAAGTGTTACAGTATACACATAGCTGTGCATATTAGGCTGCACTTGCTTTCCCAAGAGGCTTGAAAATGCAGTCGATTTAATCTAGGTCAAAAGGAAAGAAAGAAACTCCATTTTCCTCGCAGAAAACAGGGAGCTTGCTAGTCTTCACGGGGTCATGGAAATAACAGAAGATGGTTCCTCCAGGGAAAGTCCCCAGGGCAACAGGAGGCTGCCAGGGGCCTGGATCTTGTGGCCAGTTGACAGAAAGTTGGTCCTAGCGTGTCAAATGGAGAGTTGGAGGGAAGGTATGGGGTTGCCAGGGACCCCAGTGAGATCATTGTTCCCTCCCGGGCTGAAAAGGTGGCTCAGATTTGCTGTCTGCGAGGAATCTTGCAGGGAAAGTGAGGAAGGATGTTGGTGGAGCATCGCACGACTGCCTCAGGCGGCCAGAGGGCGGTGCGGGTCCCACGCTGCCAGTGTAAGTTTCCCAGGGGAATTCCTGGGATGGCACTTGGTAATCCAAACCGTGGAGTCCACATAACTCACATACGGAAGGCCCGATGGCAGCATCGCCCGTCAGCTTCCTAGGCAGTGGCCAGATGGTGATACCGCTGACATCAGGGTGCCAATTATATCAAACTCTATAAAACTAAGCTAATTGGATACGGTTTCCTTAAAAGTAGATTTCTACAGGATGAGGCGTTCGTATTTGGGTAGCTGCTACTCTAGCTATGGAAGTCCCATTTTTAGGTGGGGAAAAAAGGGTTGTGTTAGGTGACTGTTGGAGAGACATTTCAGATGAGAGGTTTAGGTTATAAAGAGACATTTTAGGTGACATGAACAGAGTGTGAAGCAGATCTTTCAGAGTGAGGTGGACCCTGTTAGAGGTGGTTCAGGGACATTCTCCCTATGAGAGGCATAGACTTTGAGGGGTGCTCATCGACTCGTGGTTGCTGGGATGGTTTTGGCTTTGCTCTTGGCTCCTGGTGTGACTTGGGGGCAGCCTGCTAACCTGTAGACTGGTGTTTTCCCATCTGTAAAATGGGAGGGTGTGGGGAGTTAGGCTGGTAGAACTAGTGTAGGGACCAAGAGAAAACCTCCCCTTGGCCCTATGAAGGTTCACTAAGAGTCCCTGACAAGAGGCACATCCACAGGAGAAAAGGCACGCAGGTTGATGAGATCACGGTTTCTGTGACACAGGCGCCTTCGGGATGCAGACCCAAAGATACAGGGGAAATGGTATACTTAGGTCCAACAAAGTGTGCCTAGGCTCATTTGCATACTTAGGTTCCACAAAGTATGGTCAGCCATGTAGTAATGTGATTGGACAAAAAGGACATGACGTAACGCTAACAGACTGAGCAGGGACACTCGGCAAGGCCTGCCTGTCCGCATTCTCCCTGGCCTCTCTGAGCAGGATTCTTCCTTCTGGGTGTGGGAAGGACCTTCCCTGGAATGGGGGTCTTATGACCTACAGTCAAACAAGGTAGGTCAGAGAATTTGTTTCTGGCCAGTTTTGTACAGAATGACGGAAGGAAAGTTAGAGCAGTATTTTTAAGTTTTATGGCTGGCTTTGGGGAAACGGGGTTCTGGTTTCTGTGACCTGCTATGAGGAAGAGAGGGATTCCAGTTTCTGTGGCTGGGCTTAGGGGAGGCTGGGACTGAGAGACAGGAGGGCAGGAGGGGGTCAGAGAGAAACTTTTTCTTGTGAGGCTTTTATGCTGGAGTACTGCTTCCCGACTCCCAACGTTTGCTACTTGTAAAATTTTGTGATTCCACAGGAAAGGCAAAGGCATGGAAGTCATGAGAAGGCAACGCTACCTTAACTTCTTCTCATTTTATTTTTTATAGTGTTCAGTTTAAAGGCGTAAAAGGCTGGAGGAGCAGTACAACACAGATATGTCTGATCTTCTTGGAGGTTCTCCCTTTAGCTAACTTTTGCTGTGATGGGTACTTTTTTCATGCCCCTGGTTCCTGTATCTCTCAGTTGATGTCATTATAGCCATCTGCGTTCAGCATCAAACACAGGGGAGCCACGATAATAAAATTACAGGCAGGAATACGTGAGAGAGCTGAGAGGCAAGGGGACTGGGCTTTAGACGGAGCTTGTGAAATCGGTGGCCTCATTTGTTCACTTGTATCTAGCACTCCTAGAAAGCAAGCACTGCGTGGAGGTCCAGCCACAGGAATTCACACCAACGGGCCCAGAGTCGGTCATAGTGCCCTGATGTGACCATTTCCTAGCAGTGCCAGTTCTTCTTGGTGGTTGGATTTTGGGCTAAAAAAAGGGCTACATGGGTGACCCTCCAGGATCTCATATCATGTCCTGAGGCCTCCTTGTACTTTCTAAGAATGTCATTTTGTCATTGCCTTTTGCCTCAAGATGCTAGGGGTATAAATCACCTTCTACCACGGAAAAAGGACTACTCTTTTTTTTTTTTTTTTAAGGTTAATGCTAAGTTTTCTTGAAAATTTTAATTCAGGGGATTTTTGATGGGTTTTTTTTTAACCTTTAACTGCCTTGTAGAAAGTGAAAGTAGGGGGTCCTGGCAGGGCCAAAGCCAGTGACTGAGAGTTGAAACCGTAGTGCATGGCAGATTCGCTTGAGCACAAAATGCCCCACTTAGATCCACAGCCTTTGGACTCTGGAAAAAAAAAAGGTATTAAATTCTTCTCCAAGTGGCTAAGATTGAGGGAGAAAATAGATGGCAAGGGGAATCAAGTAAGAGGAGTGTGTCCTCTTTTGACTTAAACTGGCTTGCATGCTACTGACTTGACAAGAAGCCAAGATCCCAGTTGCAGTTCGACTTGTGTGAAGCAGGCACCTGCTTTGCTTGCAAATGCACATACAAAAGAGAGCTTCATTCACAGGAAAAAAAAATAGCGGGTTCACTAATTTAGCCTTCCAGGGCCTTCGTCCCTTGATCTGTCAGCCCCTTAGAATTCAAAGGCAGCGTGTAAAGGAATTTCCTATTTACAACATGATGACTTTTTTGATGTCCTGAATTCGAATATAACTCGAGTTGAAGTTGTCTGCTAGGGCTATTGCTTTGTTGTTTAATAAAAAAAAGAAAAAATATATAGAGAGCTCAGTCATCAGATGATCAGTCTGGGGCTGCTTTCAAGTGTTTATGTGCTTAGATTTAGAAAACAAAGTAGGTTTTCATATATGTAAGATGTCGAATGGCCTTGAAGACGTGGACAGGCCCGTCTTGACCCTGGGGCAGAGTCCACTTAGGGAGGGAAACAGCTGTTCTCATGCCCAACCCCATAAGCTCCGAAACGGAAATACTTTTTATTTGACCAGCTTTGCCGCAGAATTGCAGGAAACCATTTTTCAGTTTGTCTCATTAGCCCTCAAGTTGTATAGTTATTTTGTATTCCAGAAAATGCTCCACAGTTCCCCATAAGAAGATATTACTGAAGGGTGGTATCAGAAAAAGAATTAGCAGTTAGAACTAGAACTTTCCAGAAAGGTCCCTCCTGCCATGGTAGAGAACACCTTACACAGGGGAGTTTCTCCTTGCTTCAGGCGGGTGGCTGCAGAAGAGTCATGAGGAATGCCTCCCTGAAACCAGCCTTGCTACGCGGGGTCAGCTCCTGCCTTTGGCGTTGTGACTCGTTGGCATGTGATCTGAAGTTCCTGCCCTGCAGCTGACGAGCCAGTGTTTCAATAATTAAAAACAACTCAACTCACTGTCCTCCTGCCTTGAATTTGATCATTGCGCTTTGCATGTATGTATCACAATACCACATGTACCCCATAAATATGTACAAAGATTATGTGTCAATAAAAAACAAAAATTAAAATCCCAATTTTTAAAAAGAAAACATGAAAGTAATTTTTAAAACTGCGTCAGCCATGCTCAGTGGCTCATGCCTGTAATCGTAGCACTTTGGGAGGCCAAGGCAGGAGGACCACTTGAGACGAGGAGTTTGAGAAGCCTGAGCTATGTAGCAAGACCCAGTCTCTACTAAATAATTTAAAAATTAGCCTGGTGTAGTGGCACATGCCTGCAGTCCTGGATACTCAGCAGCCTACAGTGGAGAAGATGACTTTAGCTCAGGAGTTCGAAGTTAAAGTGAACTATGATTGCACCACTGCACTCTAACCTGGGGAACAGAGTGAGATCCTGTCTCTTAAAACAAAAATTGCTTTGTCCATATATTAGAGTCAAGGAATTTAAAGAAAACCGCCTTTTTAAAACAGTGTCTCAGAGCATCAAACCTTGGTTTAGAAACCTTGGAGGAAGTTTCTTTAATGAGTATGGTGTCAGTTTTCTTAAGGGCAGAATGAGTTTAAAATCTGACCTCATATCATTGTCTAGAGTGGTGTCTACATTACCTCCACACTGAAAAATATAAATACGTTATTGCTCTTTGATTCACAGCAAACCGTGATATAAACTGGTTATCTTTATATATCAGTACATTTTTTTTTCCTGTGAGTATTATTACCCAGAGTTTCCAAGTAAAGATTTTCAAGGGAAACAGCTGTGGTTTGAAAAGGTTTGTGATAATCCAGATGGTTTCTTTGAGGATAAATCTACTTGATCATTTAAAATTAAAGTCTTTCAGTACAGTTGAGTGTTTCTTTATGATTTTAAACACACTACTGTGTGTGAGTGAGTGAGAGTGTGTGTGTATGTGTGTGAGAGAGAGAGAGAGAGAGAGAGTGTGTGTGTGTGTGTGTGTGTGTGTGTGTGTGTGTGTGTGTAACTACCATTGGCCTTTGGGGCTTTATCTTTGGAAACAGCAAAAATCTCATACCAGTGTCTCAAATTATCTAACAGTTAAGCAGGCAAAATACCTGAGGGAACTCTTCATGACAGCAGAAACTATTAGTGAAAAAATATAGCGAGACACCAGCTACCCTGTGTGGAGTATGTCACACTCAGCCTCTCTGGGAATTGCCACTCTCCACTTCTGATCCATGATGGCATAATCATAGCTCACAATTATAATACTGATTACAGATTGCTTTCCAAGCTGAACATATGCAACTGTATTGCTAAACTTACCAATTTCAGGGAATCTGGGCGTCAAAAGCATCCACATCCCTGCAGCAGGCCCCTGGGGAGGTAGGCAGGGTGACAGCTGGGAAATGGGGAACCAGGGCTTTCCATACCTGTCTCCTTCTCTCAGTGTCCAGGATCTTCTTGCTGCTTCATGGCTGCCCCGAGATGCTCCCTGTGAGGCCCCCCCGGGCCTGCCTTCACAGACAATGCTCTGTGCCCCTGGACCTTTCTTCTGTGCTTTTTCTGTCTTGTGTTCCTTTCCTAAGGGCCCTGCTAGATGTTGACAGTGAACAGCAGAATCACAGTGATGTGTTAGTGGCCAGTAAGATCTGGTGTATTTCCCCTCTAAGTTACAGAGAATCAGCACAGTCTTTTTGTAGTCAACAGAAGAAGTCATCACTAGTGGGACTGCTAGGCTCTGTATGGACCTAAGACTGTGATATTTGGTTCTGGGCTCACCTCTCCCGAGTTTTCCATTGGACCTGATGGACCTATGAATTTTAAAAGTCCTGGTGAGGAGTCGTGGGAGGTGCTTGTTAAACTGGCACATGAAGAAGGATGGTGTTTTTTTGTGTTTTGGGTTTTTTTTTTTTTTTTTTTTTGCTTCAAGGACCAAAGCTTTTATTATTACAATGAATTGTTGAGGTCGCTGAAACAAGGGATATCCTGAAGTCACCCGGGCATGGAACACCATGTTTGTCTTTTCTAACTAGGCCACTGCCACTGGCAGAAGCTCCTGAATGAGTAGATAAGCAGTGGCATGAATCGTCCCATGCAGGTGCTTATTAGATAGTGTCAAATGAGCAAAGTGGAAATAGGTGAAGCAGCAGAAATTACCAGCATTAAGCAGCAATGGGAGGGTTGAGACCTGCAGAAGCACCTGGTTCATCAGACTGCATCAGCCTGTGCTGATCCCCAGAGCCCCCTGGCCGGTCACCTCTAACATGGAGCGAGGCCTCTCACTCCACTCCATGGACAGTAGGGAAGGTGGGTTTCCCAGAATGAATTCTGAAGCCCAAGGGACTGTCCCCTCTGATGCATGGTGCGACCACTGACCATCAAAGAGCCAGCCCCTGGGTGTTGTAGATGTGTGACTACCCCTTACACCGATGTTGGAAACAGAGCCTGCAGGGGAGGAGGCTTGCCCCTGAATCAGACTGCTGAGCCATCTGGTGCTGCAGCTGACCTGGAGAGGAATCCAGTACATTTCAGACCTGAGTTACAGCTGGCGTGGGGAAATCTAGGAGACAGGTGGTTCCCTTAACAGCTGTATATTTGGTTAGGGCTGACAAGAAAGAAAATTTCATCCTTGTTGAGCCTTCGTGGTTTTTCAGGGATCTGTAGTAGCTCCTTGACCTTTTGCCATAATAATTGTCATTTCAGGGAAAATAATGATATTTCTCTCTTTGTTGAAATATTGTCTGCAGGTGGGTAATCTAATATTTTACAGGAGCATATTAAGTGATAGGTGGATAAAAAGACTATGGTTGTTAACTAGGAGAAACTCATAGAAAGTCTTTCAAACACATTCCAGTATCTGGAAAGGTACACACTACAGTCCTGCTGGGGAAAAACACTAATTGCTGTATCTAAGCTGACTGTTTCAATTTGGAGGTCTGTATTCATCCTGCAAATTTTAATAAAACTTAACCAATCACTGTACTTGTTAAGTGAACCATTATGAATGCTGAACAAAGCATAAGACTTCCTTTAGTCTAATAGAAGTAAAGAATGCTTTTGACCCTTTTTCTTTTTTGGTCCTGAATGAAACACTTTGGCTGCATATCCACCTAGTTTCGTGGGGGGATATTAAGCAGACCTGCTTTTTACTTACTGATGAGACTAGGCCGGGCACAGTAGCTCATGCCTATAGTCTAAGGGCTTTGGGAGGCCGAGGTGGGAGGACCACTTGAGGCCAGGAGTCCAAGACCAGCCTGGGCAACATAGTGGGACCCCTATCTCTACAAAAATGTAAAAAGTAGTCAGGCATGGTAGCACACACCTGTACTCCCAGGTACTCAGGGAAGGGGCAGGAGAACCACTTGAGCCAAGGAGTTCAAGGCTGCAGTGAGCTGTGATCACACCACTGCATTCCAGCCAGGACAACAGAGTGACATCCTGTCTCAAAAATAAATAAATTTTTTAATGATGAAACTAACTAAGGTACTGAGGAGGTAAGATATTTCCCCACGGTAAGTCATTCAGAAACTAAATGTGAAAAACCAAAAGAAGCCTCTGGGGTTAGTATTCCCAGTCTCCTTGTCTGCCCAGGACCCCACATTTGTGTAAGTTGCTAATTGCACAAGGGTATCCTACTGAGGCCGTGAATAGAGTAGAAATCCAGGCTGGGATGGGCTTATCAAGCCATGGACTGTGGCAAGGAGCTACGCCCACCTGGAGATGGGATCCCCTCTTGGAATCGGCACAAAGGCTCCAGGCTTCCCTGCCAAACGCGGCGCCTGTGGAGCTGTGCTGGGGCTCAGCTCTTGGGTCGGACAGATGAACGGTAAGGCACATTAGCAGTGTTACCTACGGTATCCTCCTGCGTGTCACACTGGAACTAGAGCTTCTCTTGGCATGATGTTAAAGAATACCTGTTTAGATGAGTGTACACTTTTAACTGAAACACTTAAGAACTATGCATAGTTGGAAGAGGATCTGTAGTGATAAGTGACTGACTTCACCGTACTAGTTGTAAAGGCAGAGTGGACCTTGGATGAAACTAGAAAGTATTTGAGATCTTGGGGATCTTCCCATCTCCCCTTCTGTATGTTTGAGTCCTTTCTTCCTTCCTTTCTCCTATTCACCTGCCATCCCACCCTGCTTAGATACCAGCTTCAATCTGTCCGTTTCTGAAAAACAAAAACCACCCACCTTCTTTTCACTAAGAACTTTGTTCAAGAGGAAGACCCTTTAAAGTAGCTAAAATCACACTAAGCTGTAATAACTAGCAACAATTAAATGTCTCCTTCCTCAAGGGTCATGTTTTAGTATGTAAATAGCAGAAGGACTACACCTTCCTAGTGGACTCTCAGGCAGCGAGCCATGGCAGGGATTTTGCTTGGGTGTCTGAGGCAGGAGTGCTCCCTTTATCCCTGAGACCACTGTATGTTGGTCAAAGCTCTCCACAGCTGGCTCACACAGAAGTGCACACAATTCACTCCATTTACGTCATCATTGTTCCTTGTCGCTTTTATCTTAGCGTTGTTTAATTCTCTATTTTCATTTTCCCTGTCATACCATTGGTCTTCCAGACCAACCTCAACTCTTCGTTCTTGGCTGTGGCGTGGCCAAACTGGCATCGGTTTTTCATCTCCTGAACTTACTCTTTCGTAATTTCCTTTATTTCAGCCAGTAAATGGCTGCATCCCTAAGTCTTCTTTTTTAAAACATCTCATTCCCAAAAGTTACCTGCCTGAAAGTATCAGATTCTGCTTTTTTTTTTTTTTAACTGTGGTTATTAAATGAGGCGGTAATTCAGAACTTCCCCACTGCTTCCTTATCCAGAAGCTAACGCCATAAGCCCAGGACAGGGAAAGGAGAAGTCACTGAGACTGTGTTTGCTAGAAGCGTTTAGTAAGGCTTGTCCTGTTTTTCTTTGTATACCAAGCCTGATGAGGCATGGTTGGTGTTTTTCTTCTAAAAATGGTTACTGGAAACTGGGATGTTAGTTTCCTTTTGGAAATTATTCCTTGGCATGAAGCAATTCCTATGGCTTTTCTGGGGCTTACATCACGCCACTGAAGCTGAACTCACCAGTGAAGTTGATCGGTTCAGTAAAAAATCTACCATCAAGAAGCAGAGCCAAGTGGATTCTGGTCAAAGAACTCAAAATAGCTGAAATAAGATGCTCGTGAAAATGGTCAGTCTCTTCAGGTTGATTCTTTAAAGAAATGTTATAATGTTCAGTTCCCTTCATTCAAGTGATACATTTGAAGGGTTCCTGATCTTTGGATGCGTGGAGTTTTTCAAATGCCAAGATGCTATGGTCATAGTCTACCTTGTCCAAAAGGCAAAGGTTTTGTATATATTGACTGTCAGTAGACTCTAACTAAATCAAGTGTAAAATGACAAGGTTTCAAATTTCTCTTCCAAACGAGGAAGAATCTTGGATGTCTTTAGAAATCTTGTATGAATGAGATTATACTTTATTTTCCCCCTGAAATGGCAGCACCTCTCAAAGCTCTTCTGGCCCCTGTCTGGCTCCGTGCGTTATGTTCCTTTAATAAAGCCAAAATAAAATACATACAGTCTTGGTGAGTGCATCACTTTACTTTTTTTCCTCAACCACTTACCAAAGACAGCCCAGATCAAAGGTTAGCATCTTTGTTTCTTAAATTTCAAGTTTTTGTCCTACCCTCTTTTCCCAAACTGATTGTGCTGAGAAACTATATTGCTGAACAAATAGCCAATATCTTTATCTACAAGTTGAAGAAGGTGCAAGCCCTCCTCCAGGATGCAGAAGGAATAGTCTAGGATTTCCATACCGTTTTCTTTGGTGGAGGAGGTTGGCTGGAAAAAGGATATATGCTGGCCTGCGCGGAAGGGCCGGGGACTCCCACAGGCTCTTTGGAAAGGAGGAATCAAAATGTTGCCAGTTAGTATGCCACAGCCATATATGTAATGCATGGGCCAGAGTCCACTAACATCTGTTTGGGCATGTACCCATCTGTATTGTAGCTTAATTTCTAAGCCAGTTAAAATACAGTCTTCCGTATTGGCAAATGAGTATTGAGGGTCATATGTACAGAACTTTACATCATGTAATGTGGTGGAGATAAAGAAGAATGCACTATCCCAGCTTTTAAGAAGCTTATAATCCAGTTGTCTGAAGCTTTGAGTTTAGAAAGTCTTTCAAAAACCTGACGTTCTGGAGATACACTTTAAGAAAATTATAATTAATGTAAGCTTGTGCTGTTGTTATTGTGATTAAATGCTTCTCTTCACGTAGGTGCTATAACACAGGTCCCATTCACATCTCACCCATTCCTCCACCACCTCCCACCCTCATTCTTGAATAGCTGTATTCCAGAGAGGTGAGGCACAGAGTCAGGAATTGATCTCCAACGTGGGTAAAGCTAATAAATATGATTTAGGATGAAAAGGTACTGTGTAAATGCTTGAGATGTTGTTATTGCTGTTCTCATATGCTTTATTATTTTTAAATTGTGCGTCCTTTTAAGTAGATTGTTTGTTCGCCACAGTCTCCATTATATCTAAGCAAAGCATTCACAGAAATTTCTAAAACCTTTTCATTTCTCTCTGTAGGTTGTTGTTTCGTAACATTTTATACAAGAAAAGCTGCACTTGAGGCCCAGAATGCACTGCACAATATTAAAACTTTACCTGGGGTGAGTCGGTTTACTTTTGTACCAGAATCACTTTATTGCTTGAAAATGGTCCTTTCAACTGAAGGTTCTAGTTATGGGCTCTTAGTGCCAAAAATGACTTTGGTCTTTTGAGGAGTGTGTGCTGACCCCCCAGTTCCCTGCAGCAGCCACACCAGCTGGCCAGCCCATAAAGGAGCGCTGGCATTAACACTGACGGGAAGCATTCTCAAATAGTGCATCCCCTGGTTAGAAAATCAGAGTGACCCCACTGGGCAGCCACGGCTGCCAAAGAGTATTGGGTGGGCTAAGATTTTAAAAGGAAAAAAAAACCCAACACACACAAGAGAAGCAAATGGAAAAGAAAAAGCTTTTATTCACCAGGAGCTCCTTTTCAAATTTTGTCTTTAGATTTTCTTTTGAAAGGACAAAATGTACCCTTTACAGCCATAATATTAAGCCTCCTAATGGTTTCTAAACAGTCAATGGTGGTTAACAAAGTCAGTGTTTTAATACCCAATTTGTGGCTTCATGTTGATATAGGACAGAAAATACAAAGCTTACAATTTTTTTCTCCGTTTCCTTCCCAGTAATATTTGATAGTTGGCACAATTCACCAGAAATGAACTGATGTTGCATGTAGGAACACCAGAATACAGTTTTTCTAAAGGATTTTGTGGCACTTTTATGTATTTCATGCTATTAATTTCCTGATGCTGTTTGAATGTTTTCCCCATTGACCCAAATATCAGTGATGAGTTCATAATGACATGCATTTGTTATAATGAAGCACCTGTGGTAACCAGTGCAAGGATAATGATTTTATTGAAACCTAGTTTGATAAGAATAAAAGAAAGATAAGGTAATGTCCCTAATGTTTTCAGGGTATAATTCTACCTTTGTGTCTTTTATTTGTCTCTGAACGCATACACAAACACCTCTGTGTATATACACATTCACACATGCACACATAACCATTGAACCACCACAGGCCCCCAGAAAAGATAGCATTTGTATGATTCATCCTAGACTCGTTCACAATACAAGATCGTAGTGGCAAAAAGCTCAGCAAAAGATTTTCACAACATGAGGTTCTTCATCACCCAAAAGTCATAAATTAAGAACCTTGATTTTGAATCATACTACTTTGGTATTCCCCTTTGTATGCGAGGAAATCAAAGAATAGAAGGTTCGAAGAAGCAAGTGTGTGGTCCCACAATGGTCCTGCCCAGTTTCACTGCTTCTCTCTGAAACTGCTAAGGTGGTTCTTAGTAAAGCTGTTTTTATTGAGTCTAAGTGCTTCACTCAGTGACTTTAAAAAAATTGTATTATTTTATCTGCATTCTTCATGTAAATGGACTTTTTTTTAACACAGATTCTAGGAGATTGCAGTGTTGGGTCACATTGTGGAATGAACAAGCCAAGGCAAATATTTACTGACTCAGCCAATAATAGATGAAAATCATTTTTATTTCCCAGGCTCCTAATCAAACCCAAAGACCACTTTGTATTTCTTCTTTTAAAAACAAATGCTTTCTAGTAATGAGCATGCCGAATCCCTTCTAGGTGTGTTTTTTAAAATTACTTGAGACAGTGAACTGTTGTTAATTTAGCATTTAAGGTATAGTGTAGTTTGATGCCAAGTCACATCATATTTTAAGTGAATGCAGAGCTTGGTGAATATGTATTTATCCCTCTACTAGAAACACAGCTCCCAGCATGCGATCTTCATAGTCGAGGGTGCTCTCAAGAAACCCAGAGTGAATATGATGAATGGGGCATGTTGAAATGCATGAAAGCGACTTATGAGTATGCTTCTGTTTGGGATTCTTACACTGACTCTTAGAAAACAACATGTTTTATATTTTTTAAATATTGTACGTGTGTTACTTCTTTTCTTCCTAAAAATCCTGCATGTAGAATTCAGGGGAGGTGATGTTACAGACCCACTGTCAAGGACAATAATTTGGGAGCTGGAAAAGTTGGTCGGTGGATTATTTTTGGTTTTCTCCTTATCTAGTTTCATATGCCCAATTACTTGAGGCAGGTTGAAGGAATTTGAAAAGTCAGATCTGATTTGTAAGGCTGATAGCCTTTCCAGTGCACACACTTGCTACATTTGCTATTCCAAATATGGTAAATGAGGAGAGAGTTTCACATCTTGCATTTATGTACAGCTTCGTCCAGTACACATTACCCTTAACAGCTATAGGAAAAACATGAAAGTGTTTTCCTTTTAGCTGTGTGAGTCTTTGGTGGACAGAAAGAAATGGGACCAGACATAAAAGATTAATGCATATTCTTGGAAGAAAAAATATTACAGGGTGCCTTGCGGTTTGATTACAAGCCTTGAAATTAGTCAACATTTCCATAATTCTAAACCAATATACACCTGTTTTCCCACTGTGATGTGAAGGCACAACTTAATTTAACAGAGACCCTGCTGTGCTAAATCTCTCATTAAATACCAAGTGAGTTCGGTAATTTAAAGTTGTACACTACTATTTTAACTGGTTGCCTTCATATTATGAAATTAATAAGAAATTAATGATGCACTTTGCCATATGCCTTCAATTTCTTTCTGAATAAAACTAAAAGTGATAAAGAAAAAATACATCACCAGCTGACACTTTAAAGCTTTTCTGGTTGTAATCATTTTCCTGTGGATAAAATCCATTAAAAAGTCACTTGCTGCCTTTTTTCTAAAGTGTCCAAAACTTTCGATTTAAAACAAGATCAAATAATGCTAGGGTTTTTTCCGATGTAATTTTCTTTTGCAGTTGATGTTTTGTTTCATAAGGAACTTTTATTATGCGGCCAAGCTTGATTGATGTTTGGAGTTTGCTTTCCTCTGTATGCGCCATCTTTCTTTCTTGAGGGACACAAAGAACTTGGTTAGTTAGGAAGCAGAAACAAGTTGATAGGATGGTCTGTTGTGCAATCAAATGTGTCTGCCATAAGATTTTGATTTAAAGGCACCCTCCTTTACATGTCAGGAATGAATTTTAGAAACCCTTTACATGGGGCTGGAGAAACGACTCCCAGATTGAGGTGACAGATCAGGGCTCTTACGGAGCAGTGCAAAATCATTGAAGACACGTTTCTCAAACTTGCCTCTTACTGGGTAACCAAAGAAGACGCTCTGTTTTACATCCCCTGAAATTCTCAACATAAACCCTAGAAATACAATGGCAGTCATAAAGGAAGCAAATTCAACAGCTCAACACAGAGCAAGGGATGAGAGTCTGGGAGTCCTTCCCTTGGTTTGATCACACATCTCCTCTAGAAGTGGTTGCTGGATGCTCCAGCAACAGAAGAAATTTTAGGTACAGTGCCTCATTAGTTACTGACATTTCATGAGATTAATCCCAAATGATCATGGAGTGCCTACAGTGTGCCTAGCTCTAAGCTAGGTATTGGCAGGAAGTAGCAGGGATCGAGCCCAAGGGGGCCTCTAGCTAATCTAGCTGGAAGGGTGGACAGTAGACAGGTAGTTAATACTTACATGGTTCGTGCTTTCACGCTTTTCTGCTGCAGAATACCCATTCCACCACACACACACATCCTTGAGATGCCTAGTAAGTAGAGCCTTTGTAGCCTGAAGATAACACTGTGAGTGTATCTGCACAGGCTGGGCTACCTGAGAAGCTGTTGGATTTGGTGCCTTGTTAGGCTGACTTTTCCTACTGCTGGGCCATTTATGGTTTTGGACTAATTTTGGTTGCACCTGCTTTGATGATATGTCAATTTGGGGTTAAAGATAGCATCCCTTCTTGAGGGTTTTATCTAGGCACAACCTAACTGGTAGTTTGTTCAGTAGAAATGTCATTATCTACCATTGTGTTTCCCAGAGGGACATCTTTGTCAAGGCAACTTGCAAGATTTTCATTTTGTTTTTTATTGAGCTAATTTAGCTCAATTAAAAAATAAAGTAAAATAGAGACTTACCTGAGGCCCAGAAAAACTACCAAGATCTTTTCAATAATCAGATGTCAGGGCCAAATATCCTTGTGCCGGTGTCAGCACCGTGCTGGGTGTCATTCTCTTTCCAAGGTCTTAACACATATTGTCTCTGGTAATAAGGCTTTTGGATTGAAATCCACAGCAGTATCATTAGAGCATTCACTGTATAAATTAATTTAATTAAGGATGTAATAACAGAGAGGAATACAGTTTTGAGAAACCTCTTAAATTTTAACAGCAAGGAGGAAGCTGCGGAATCTAAATGTCTTGTAAAATATTAATTGCAAATTTCTTCCAGACATCTTCTCTGAATATGCCTTACCCATTTCTTTTTAGAATCACCACCAGTTTTATTAAATGCAGTTTATATTAAGGAGTTATTGCCCTAAGAGAACATTTGTTTAGAGTGCTCCATTTTAGCAGCAGCATGCCAAAAGATGTTTTACAATAACCCATGCAAGGTGAGCGAGGACTGCCAGAGATCTGGGGTAGAAAAACAAATGAGCCTGATCCAATCGGAGGAGGCAGGAAGGGAAATGGCCTCCTGGGACAAGTGTGTTCACCCAGGTGGAGTGAATGGGCCCCTTCCTGGCCTGCCCTGGAAGAGATAATGGACCAGTGTGGGTAGGCACCTTCCTCCCAAGCAGGCTTCACTCTGCTCGCCATGGAGTTGGC